>NC_000020.11:6278456-6429971 GCF_000001405.40 Homo sapiens
AGAGATCCTCCTGCCTCAGCCTCCTAAGTAGCTGGGACTGCAGGTCCCAGGACACACCACCATGCCCAGCTAATTTACTTTTTTTTTTTTTTTTTGTAGAGATGAGGTCTTTCTATGTTGTCCAGACTGATCTTAAACTCCTGGGCTCAAGTGATCTTCCTGCCTTGGCCTGCCAAAGTGCTGGGATTATAGGTGTGAACCACAGTGCCCCTCCCCTAATCTCTTGACGCCCTGTGTTGGCATATTCTGATGTATCCTAGACTTCAGTAACCTCTAACTTGGACAACCAGCCAGAAGACAGTTCAAATCTAAATATTCTTCTAGTCTCCTTTGTGCATTTCAATAAGAACAACAACAATATGTGCACACTGAGATTTCTCCTCACCTGGGCCATGGGGCGGATTGTGGAAGTACACAAAGTGGTCCACGTGTTTACTCTCCTGGTATTTACATCTTTACATTCTTTCAGATTTGGGATGTGACTTTTAAAAAAGACAGTGCCAAGTGTAATAATAGACCTGTTAGTAATGTACATGTGAGATACAGACTGACATTTTGAGGAAACTTGTAGGGTAAAATAGGATAATGAAAGACTTCATGTTAGAAAATAGCTTCTGAAGATGAAGGTAGAATAAATAATTATCTGACATTTGTCTGTTCCTCCTGCTTCTATTAGTCATAATTATTTAGGTCATCACAAAGGCTCTGTGTCCCAATTCTTCACTCTATTGTAGTAATATTTTACATCCCATCCTTGCCATGGTGTCATGGTGGGCAGAGTAGATGGCCGGATGTCTTGACTTTGGACTTGGCCATTTGACTTGCCCAGTTCAATTGGATGTTAGCTGGTGTGAGGCCTATGATGTGCTGGGGCTGTTGCGGATGGCTTGAGCCCAGGAGTTTGAGACCAGCCTGGGCAACATGGCAGAACCCCATCTCTACATAAATTACAAAAATTAGCTGGGTGTGGTGGCATGCGTCATTACACTTCAGTCTGGGTGATAGAGTGAGACCCTGTCTAACATATATGCATATACAAAATCTGCCCCCCATCTTTACTGTTAATTGTTAAGAGAGACCTATGGTTCCTCCCCACTGGAGAGTGGCCGATTATCAGCCAACCTTGGCAGTCTGTGTCTTTAATTCCTGTCTCAGTTTTTTTTTTTTAATTTTTAAAATCTTGTCCTCTTATGCTTAAATACCCCTTCTGCATGTAGTTTGATGATATTTGGTAGCCCCAGTAATTACCAGGCTTAATTGATCTGTTAAAACTCATCTAAAATTATTTTTTCTCTTTTTTTTCTGATTTTTCTCTCTAGAAGTTTTTTTTATACTGGTAAGCTGTGTATGTTATATACCAAATAAAATTTCTTTTAAATAACATTTTATTATTTAATTTATTTGCCAGATTTACTGAAGTATGATGAACAAATAAATATTGTATAAATTTAAGGTATACAACATGGTGTTTTGCTGTATGTATACCTTGTGTAATGATTCCTATAATCAAGCTAATTAACATATTCATCACCTGATGCAGTTACCTTTTTTGTGTGATGAGAACATTTAACTCTCTTAGCAATTTTAGTTATTATTAACTATAGTTATCATGCTGTATATTAGATCCCTAGAACTTATTCATCTTATAGATGAAAGTTTGTATTTACTCTTTGACCAATATCTCCCCATTTTCCCGACACCCCAGCCCCTGACAATCACCATTCTCTCTTTTAATTCTGATATGATCTGATTTTCTGCTTAGGATCACAGTGTGATTAATTCTTTCCCCTATGAAAATTTTGAATTTAGATAGGCAACTGTGAGTTTTTTTTCCCATTTAATCAGTAAGCACATGTTAAAGGCTCACTCACAAAATGCCTACAAAATGAACACAAATGAATAATTATGTCCAGTTTAACCATGGGCAATATTATATATGCATATTTACATACATATGTATATATGTGTGTATGTGTATGCATTTATGTATATTTACATATATATTTAATCACAGTCTGTTTCTTATAATAGATTAACCAGTTGTATGGTGATTTTACAGTAATCTGAATATTTGATGAGCGTACAATTCTCCATTCATGTTAGAGATACTTTACAAATGTAAGGGCAAAAGCAGCTATAGATAAAAGTGGGCAACATCAATGCCAAACTTCCTCCCTGTTAGGTTCCACTCAAGTTATGAAGTTTTATACACATCAATGCAAAATGCAAGCCCCCTTTTCCTAAACCTTCCCCACAATAGACCCAGCTGCTGGACTCTTCTGGCCTGACTCTATCACCACAGGGGCCACATACTTTCTCCCTACTACTTCTTTGATCCCCTTATTGGGGCTATACCTGTGGTAAGATGTGTGAGTGCATGTGTGTGTATGTGTGTTTTCTCTGCTCATACTTTCATTTATTTCACGCATTTTTTCTCACACGCAGGATAACATTCCCTTCTACTTCCTTCACTGTAAGTTCTTTCTTTCAACCTTGTCTGGTAAGACCTGGGGACATTTCACACAAGCCTGTGTCTGTCTGCCTTTCTCTTCCTCTCTGCATGCATTTGAAATAAGCACCCCAGGTGATTCTGATTCATGTAGTCTGAGACCACTCTTAGTGGAAAGTGTGCATTTTTGGTATTAAGCACACCTAGACTTTAGTCCTCACCCTGTCACTTCATAGCTGGGTTATGGTGAGCAACTATACCCTTGGATCCACATCTGTAAAATGGGGCTAATGGAGTACCAGGTTGGTTTATGTTTGTTTGTCTCTTGTCTTTGCTCTTAGATTTTGTAAGCCATGGTAAACGGGATTTACCATGAGCAAAATAAAGGATGGGCTGAAGATAGAAGTACAAAGAGTTGATCAGTTCTAGCAGTCAGAAAGTGGGACTGGATTTAGTCATGCTGCAATGTATGCATATTTTAAAACAGCATGTCGTACAAAATAAATGTATATAATTTTTTTTTGTCAACTGAAAATACAAGAATGTGATCAGAAGCAAGCTTTATGTATTTAATTTTATTATGCCAAACTAGATTTGTCCAGCACAGAGCTTGACTCTTCATTTTCAGAATGCATACATATTACAAACCGCTGAAACAGAGTAAGTCTATTATTTTCACTTGTGTATTAGTTTGGCCAGGGTTTGGTGGTATATATTCAAGGGAAGCCAAAATGTTTGTTTGAGCTTGTTTGCTATTAAGAACTCTGTTAACATTGGTTCATCGTCAAATTATGACTCCAAAGAAACAAACTTCAGTTCTCTGTCCTTGAGAATATTGTGTTTTCTAAGTTTTGAAACTTGCTGGAAAAGTGCTATTTTTTTCACTCATTTGGGCAAAATTTAGTAATTCATCTTGACTCATTATATGATGTTGAATTTACTAAAGAAGATCTTCAGGCACTTTTTTATGTTAGTATGATGATAAATACATGATTATATTTAATAAACAAAGCATGTTTATTACATAGTTGAAAATCATATTCTTAGGTGTTTGCAAATAGAATTCTAAGGTTTCAGTATTTGAACTGAATATTTTAAAAACAGTTTTGAATTTTGGCAACTGAAATAAATTCTGGGAAAGTATTGGAATCTAACATTATTAACAAAATACTGTGGCGTGATAAATGTTAAATATCTCAGAAAATATAATCTTGATTATGCCATTATCTCTTCTGTGGTGAATAGAATTTATACACATCGCAATATGTGTTTCTAAACAAAGGGTGACTTAAAATGCTAAGTGCCTTATAATTTAGAGTTTAGACAAAAACTGTATTCTCAATTGTGCCACAGTTTTATGGTCTCCTACTGTGTAGTATTTTGGCGCAGATTAGGGATAAACCATCAATGGATAATAAATCTAATTTCTGAGTTACTGGCAATGTCTTTGATATCAAATAAAGGTTTTTCTCCTAGTTGGTGCACTACTTCACAATATAGATGCTTATTTATTTGAAAAAAAGTGGGAATGTTTGAAAATGTTGCCATGTACTATAGCCTGTCTTTTTTTCTAATCACATCTATTTAGATAAGGTTTGCTGATAATTTTAAGTTTTGTTAAAAGTGTATAACAAGGTCCTATGTGTGCTAATACAAATTTTCAGAAAATTATTTTTGTTTCTAACAATATTATTAATAATTTTATATAAGGAGTTCAGATAACTGAGTTGTCATATTGACTTTTAAATGATGTTCAAGTTTCCAGGAGTCAGGATTAAAACTTTAAATAGAGAACTGAAAAATATATATAAATAACCAGATGGGAATTTTAGAACAAAAAAAAATAAAAGTTTAATGAGTGGGTTTAATAGCATACTAGATAGAGCTGAAGAGAGAATGAGTGAAATGGAAAGTAGTCAGAAGAAAATAGAAAGAAGCACAAGGACACAAAAAGAAGCACAGAATACAGGGTCAGACACAAAGGCAGTATGTGTAATTGAGGTCTAAAAAGGGAAGCAAAGAAGAGAAAGGATAGATGCATATTTGAAGAAATACTGACTGAGAGTTTTTCAAAATCATAAAAATTACGATACCAAAAATTCAAGAAACCCCACAGACCATAAGCAAGATGAAAAAAAATGAAGCATACACTTATTTTCATTATTGTAAAGTTGTTTAAAAAAACACAAAAAGAATATCTAAAACCAGCTGGAGGAAAAAGGATTACCTTTCAGGAGAATCAATTAGACTGTCCCCAACATCTCAGTAGAAACAGTGGAAGCTACAAGACAGAAAGAAATAATATCTTCAATTTTTTTTTTTTAAATGAGATGGAGTCTTGCTCTGTCACCCAGGCTGGAGTGTAGTGGCGTGATCTTGGCTCACTGCAACCTCCGCCTCCTGGGCTCAAGTGATTCTCCTGCCTCAGCCTCCTGAGTGGCTGGGATTACAGGCACGTGCTGCCATGTCCAGATAATGTTTTGTATTTTTAGTAGAGATGGGGTTTCACCATGTTGGCCAGGCTGGTCTTGAACTCCTGACATCAAGTGATCCGCCTGCCTTGGCCTCCCAAAGTGTTATGATTACAGGCGTGAGCCACTGTGCCCGGCCTCAAAGTTCTAAAATGGAATCCCGTGAAGTATCTTTCAACAATAAAGGTAAATATCTTTTCTGGCAAACACCATTTGTCACTGATAGACTTGACTAAAGGGAATACCCAAGGGTATTTATCAGGCAGTAGGAAGATTGTGTCAGGTGGAAGCTTGGAGATGCAGGGAGAGATGAAGAGTGGAAAAAAACCCATGAAAATATTTCTAAATGAGTATTAATGACATAAAACAATAATAATATCTTGTATGATCTATCCAATGATATAGGGAAAAAACCGAAGTATTTCTTCTATTCCCTCACTCAGTAGTCAACACAGAAGACTTCTGTAACCAAATATGTGGGAGTTTTCTCTGCACACTAACCAAGCAATCAGTTTTGCAGTGGACACCAGCTGGTGTCCTCCAATTCAATTCTGATGCTATCTTCCTGGAGAGAACATCAGATCCCACAGGTTAAGGTTTCAGTCCCATGAGATTGCCCCCACTTCTATGCCAATCAAAAGCCCCACTGGCTTCTGACCCATCAGCTGTAAGTAGGGTTTCTCACAACTCCCTTCTTGGGTTCAACTAATTTGCCGGGGAAGCTCCCAAAACTCTGGTAAACACTTTACTTACATTTACTGGGTTATTATAAAAGATATTACAAAAAATACAGATGAAGAGATGCATTGGGTAAGGTTATGTGGGAAGGGATGTGGGACTTCCATGCCCTCTTATATGGGCCACCTTCCAGGAACGTCCATGTATTCAGCTATCTGAAAGCCCCCAGAACCCTGTCCTTTTGGGTTTTTATGGAAGCTCCATTACATAGGCATGGTGGATTAAATCATTGGCTATTGATAATCGACTCAACCTTCAGCCTCCTCCCCTCCCCAGAAGATGGGGCATGAGCTGAAAGTCCCAATCCTCTAATGTTGCCTTGGTCTTTCCTGTGACCAGGCCCCATCCGGAAGCTACATAGAGGTTGCCAGCCATCTGTCAACTCATTAGCACACGAAATAACATCACTTTGGAGATTCCATGAATTTTAGGCTTTGTATGACAGGAAATGGGAACAAAGACCAAACATATATTTTACAATATCACAACTTAGAGTGTACATAGGATTAAAATATACAACAGTAGCACAGAAAAGGGGAAGAAGTAAATGAAATTAGTGTTCTAAGGTCCTGGCATTGTCTGGGAAGAGGCTAAAGTACTGATTTGTTACAGTTTGATAAAAACACATCTAATCTCTAGAAACAAAGCAGAACTACTGGGCAAGGCATGATGGCCATTTGGTGGCCGTGTGGTGGGAGTCTGCAGAAGTTCTCTTCTCGCCACTGCAATGAAGAAGAAAGCAAAGTCAAACAGAGTGAGGAAGGGAAGAGGCATTTAGAGTGTGAGGTGAGGGTGTGAAACAGGCAACCATAGATTCTGATTATAAATGGTTAAGTTTAGCCTAAAGCTGCCTTCTTACATATTTTAAGTTCAGTCTCAAGGTTTCTCTGTAAACTTTCACATAGTGAACTGTAACCTAACTGGATGTGTAAACAGACTGTAACCTACTCTTGTGCCAATCACTGACTTTCAGCCAGTCACAGGCAGCCAATTATGCTCAAATAAGGCTAATGCTGAGCTTTAACCAATCCAGCTGTTTCTGTACCTCACTTCTGTTTTCTGTATGTCACTTTGCCTTTTCTGTCCATTAATTTCTACCACATGGCTACACTGGAGTCTCCCTGAATCTATTCTGGTTCAGGGGCTGCCTGAACCAGAATTGCATGAATTGTTCTTTGCTCAATTAAAATGTTTAATTGGTCAAAGGTTTGTCTTTTAACAAAGTCAAATAAAATGAAATTTGGATGAAGTTGAAAAGGATGTCAATAGCTGATAAGCCAATATAGCACTCTAGGTCAAGAGTAGGGTGCAAATTTTTCTGAAAAAATAAGTTAGGGGTTTTGGAGTATCTTTTAATGAGAACAAAAAAGAGGAGTTAAGGGACATCATTTTTTTCTCTCCAACTTCCTTATCAAGAGAATCAGTCTGGAGCTAAGAGGGTGAAGAAGAAAGAGCCACTGCTTTGTGGCTTTGAGCAGAGGCAGCTGAGCAGAGATGAACAAACACTAATCAACAAACCAAAGACTCAGGGTTCCTCTCCAAGTCCTGCCAAACTCCCGCCTAGGTGGTCTGCTTATCCCTAAACCAGGGGATCCTGAATGCTGAGGAGAAGTGCTTCCCTAAGGGCAGAGGGCATATGGAGTTTTTGAGACAACAAACCTGAAATGAAATTCTACCCCCAAAATATGTACATTGGTTATGTAGCAATACAAAAATTTTTTTAAAAAACTTTAGGCTGTGCTAATGCAAGCGTCCATCTCCTCTCTTTATTATATTTGAAAAAACTGTAAGCACAAGGAGATGTGAATCCATTCAGAGAGGAGTAATCAACATGGGCTGTGTGCATAGACTATCAATCAAAAAGGAAGCATTAAACATACAGCACGAACAATTCATTGTTCAACTGTCCCTGCCTCCAGATATTCCCTACCTTCTCCTGCTGGCCAAGTTAAATGATATTCTTTGCATTTCCATGTCCCCCATGCATATCTTTTCCTAACTTATCATACTGTTCCAATTTTTTTGTTTACTTGGTCACTGTTTCACTAGATTCTAAGATCCTGGAAGGCTGGTGCTGGGATTTTTATTCCATACCCTCAGTAATGAATACAGCACTTGAGCATGGCAGGCATAGATAAAAGTTGGAATAAAAGAGGAAATAATGTAATTGATAGCTGTTTAGACAACATAGGGTTAATAAAAACAGGACATGGAATCTTTCCTTCATTCACTAGATTCTCATTCCAAAAGTGAATTGAAGAATTAAGGCAATTCTCTAGGTCAAGGCTCTCCAGTAGAAATAAAAAGTGAGCCACATATGTAATTTAAAATTTTCTAGAATCCACACTAAAAAGTACAAAGAAATAGATAAAATTAATCTGAACAATATATTTTATTTAACTTATGTTCCAAGTATTATTTTAAAATATAATAGACGTTAATAATTATTAATATTTTACATATTTTTTATAGTACTAAAATTTTGAAATTGTGAATTTTCCACTTAGAGTACATTTCAATTTGGGCCCTAAATTTATATCAGAAGTATATAATCTGTAGTTTGCAATTGTAAAATTTATGATTGAAAAGTGGATTTCATACCAGGTTGAAATATACTTAAGATTTTTCCAACAATTGAGTTAATGATGTTTTTAAATTTTAATTTAAATAAATTAAAGTGAAATAAAACTAAAAACTCAATTTCTCTGACACATTAGCCATATTTCAAGGCTAGTAGCCACATGTTGTATTGAACAGTACATTTCTAGGTAATGCAGATCCCAAGCCATGGGTGTGCAGACAAAGATGGGTCCTTGGCATAGAATTAATCAACCAGTTTCCTTTTTTGTTTGGTAGTGTCATTATTTTCATGAACCATATTAAACACATTTGTTCATTAAACCTGCAGACTGTCCAGTCATAAGGAAAAAAATGGGTCAAATACTTGATTTTGCCTGTGGGGCTGAATTTAGTCACTTTGCCTGCTGCAAGTGATGTACTTTTGTATTTTTTAAGCTGTCCTGTGTGGACCTGGTGTTTTTTAAGCTTGCAGCTGCACTATTGTTAGGTCAACAATTAGCACAGTCTTTTGAGTTGCATAACAAATATACTAGCTCCCAGGAAGCAGATAGTGCCATGACAAACTTACTCCAATTTAGGTGGAATCTCAATTGATATGTCCTGTTCTGTATTTGTGGTAAGATAGGGCCATAAAATAATGTGGTACTCTTAAATGTATTTTTCAAGAAATTTTTAAGAGAGAATAAAGAGATTGAAATTATTCTCTTTCATATCAATATTTTCTGAGAAAAGGTCCAAACTGGAAAACTAGAAAGGTCTTAGAATTGAGCCCTGTGAGTATAACTGCATTTAAGCATTAATCAAACTCTACCACTCTTGATAATTCTAGATGTCCACAAATGGAAAATGCAAGGAAGTCACAGATAATTTAAAAACAAAGAGGCCAATATAGAAAAAGCCTAAAGCTAATATCATACACAATGATTAAAAATGGAAAGCTTTCCCTCTAAGATCAGGAGTAAGACAAACATGCCCATGCTTGCCATTTCTATTCAACATGGTATTGGAAGTCCTATGAGAGTAGTTAGGCAAGAAAAAAAAAGTAAAATACATCTGTATTGGAAAGGAAGAAGTAAAGTTATTTGTTTGCAGATGACACTATCTTATATATAGAAAATCTTAATTCCACAAAAAAACCTCTTGCAACTAATAAACAAATTCAGCCAAATTGCAGAATACAAAATCAACATATAAAAACTAGTTGCACTTTTATAATAACTAACAATGAATAATCTGAAAAGGAAATTAAAAAAAACAATTCCACTTACAATAACATGAAAAAGAATAAAACATTTAAGGAAAAAACCTTAAGCAAGGAGGTAAAAGACTTATACACTGAAAACTAAAAAACACTGTTGAGGGAAATTAAAGAAGACACAAATACTTGGAAGGACATTCTGTATTCATGTATTGCAAGATTTAAAATTGTTAAAATGTCCATACTACCTAAAGCATTCTACAAATGTAATGCAATCCCCATCAAAATCCCAATGGCATTTTTTTTTACAAAAGTAAAAAAAAAATCTGAAAATTCATATGGAACCACAAAGGACCCCAAATACCCAAAACAGTCTTGAGAAAGAGCAAAGCTAGTGGTGTCACACGTCTTGATTTCAAAACATATTACAAAGCTACAACAATAAAAACAGTATGACATGGATGTAAAGACAGGCACATAGACCAAGGGAACAGAATAGAAAGCCCAGAGAATAAACCCATGTATATACGGTCAAATCATCTTCAATGAGGGTGCCAAGACTGCACAATGGGGGAAAGGATAATCTGTGTGACAAATGGTGCTGGGAAAACTGAATATCCACATTCAAAAGAATGAAATTAGACTCTTACCTTACACCATACACAAACATCAGCTCGAAATGGATTAGAGACTTAAATGTAAGACCTGAAACTATAAAACTCTTAGAAAAAAACATAGGGAAAAGATTCATAACATTTGGCTTGGCAATGATTTCTTGGATATTATATCAAAAATACAGGTAACAAAAGCAAAAATAGGCAGATGCTAATACATCAAACTACAAATCTTCTGTACAGCAAAGGAAACAATCAAAGTGAAAAGGCAATTTATGGAATGGAAGAAAATATTTGCTAGTCATATTTCTGATAAGTGTTTAGTGTCCAAAATATGTAAGAAACTTACAATTCAATAGCAAAACACCCCTGAGTAGCCTGAATAATAAGTGGGCAAATGATTTGAATAGATATTTCTTCAAAGAAGACATATCAGTTACCAAGAGGTATATGAAAAGATGCTCAATATGCAAATGCAAATCAAAAGCACAATAAAGCATCACCTCATACCTGTTAGGATGGGCATTATTAAAAAAACAGAAAGCAATAAGGGCTGGTGAGGAGAAATTAGAACCCTTGTACACTGTTGATGGGAATGTAAAATGGTGCAGCCACTATGGAAAATAATATAGAGGTTCCACAAAAAATTAAAAACAGAATTCTATATGATTCAGCAATCCTACTGTGGGTATTCATTCAAAATAATTGAAATCATGATTTCAAAGAGATATCTGCAATCACATGTTCATAGCAGCATCATTTACAAAAGCTAAGAGGTAGAAACAAGCTAAATGCAAATTGATGGATGAATAAATAAAGAAAATATGGTATATACCTAAATGGAAGATTATTTATCTATAAAAAAGAAGGAGGTCCTGTCATATACTATAACATGGATGAAGCTTGAGGACATTTTGCTAAGTAAAATAAGCTAATCACAGAAGGACAAATCTTGCATGATTCCACTTAATATGAAATCTCTAGTACAACTCATAGAAACAGAGAGTAGAATTATGGTTTCTAGGAGCTTGGAGAGGGAAGAAAGGAGTTGCTGTTCAATGACTATAGAGTTTCATTCATGCAAGATGAAAACATTCTGGAGATCTGCTGTGCAACACTGTGTTTATACTATACTGTACACTTAAAAATTTGTTAAGAGAGATGTCTAACTATATTATTTTGATTAATAATATTGTACATTTAAAAATTTGTTAAGAGGTAGCTTTTATGTGCTTTTTGCTTACCCTAAAGCACAGAATTTAATTTTCATTTATTTTTTAAATTTTATTTATTATTTATTATTTTTATATTTATTTTATTATATTATTTTACAGATGAGGTCTCACTATGTTGCCCGGGCTGGGCTTGAACTTCTGGGGTCAAGTGATCTGCCTGCCTTGGCCTCCCAAAGTGATAGGATTACAGGTATGAGCCAATGTGCCCGGCAGTGGAATTGCTGAATCACTGTGTAAGTGTATGACAAGCTTTGCTAGATATAGCTAAAGAGTTTTCTAATTGTCCCAATTTACACTCTCACCAGCCATTATGAGAGTTCCAGTCACTCCACATCTTCACCAACACTTGTTGTTTTCTGTTTTTCTTTTCTCTTTTTTTTGGCTTTTTAGCCATTCAGCTAAGTGTATAGCAGAAAACCATGGTGGTTTAATGGGAGGGTTGTTCTGACTAGGATTTTTGATTAATAAGAGGCTTTACTCGACTTGCCTTCAGTAGTGGGAGCTTTGCTGTAAGGAGGCAGATGCACAGGTACTGGGTGCTGGGAAAACTGAATAGCCACATGCAAAAACTGAATATCCACACGCACCATTTGCCATTCCTTTCAATGGCAAAAACCGCAATTACTTTTGTGCCAACCTACATCGGGGCCCAGGCATGAGGCTTTGCTGTAAGATGATCAGCCACTCTCTCTGTTTGTCTTCCCTTTTATCTCCTTTGTCTCTCTCTGGCAAATTTGCTCTATTTCTAGTTGAAATATGAGAAGGAGACTCTGGCTCAGCAAATCTCCTGATTTCGGGTCACAACATAAATTGTGTAATGTGCACTGGTGGCCTTGTGCCCAGGGCCAGGTCCTTTCCAGAGAATAATCTAGTGCTGTTTCCTCAAAGGGACACTGAGGACATGGTGGGCCCAGGTGGAGAAGATGGTGGGCAAGAGTGATTTTAAAAACAATGGAAAGGAAATGTATCTTTATCTGAGTGGAGTTTGAATTTGATGCTAGTGACAACAGGAATAATGACACAATTATTTTTATATACACACACAACATATATATACACACACATACGTGTGTGTATATTGCTTTGATCAGAATTGGAGAAACTCAGTTAATAAAATCTTTGATTTGCCATTTTTTATCTTTGTTTAGTGAAAAGTAGGACATTAATAATTACTTCATGTCTGATGTATAGACCATTAACAAAATATTTCAAGCAGTAGAATTCATGGGTGAAAATAATAAGAGAGTCTGTTGGTTAAAAACAAAAGGAATTTATAGCTCTATTGGAATTAAAAAAAAGGAATTTATAGCTCTATTGGAAAAAGGAGCGTGGATTATGGCCTTAGCAGAAGTGTTTGTGAATATTCTGATATATACACAATCTTTTACCTGGATACCTTGGTTTTTGATTGGACATTTTACATTCTATAAAGACACACTGAAGTCAGATAATTGGAGACTGGATCATATAGCTAGAACCTAATCCTCAGGATTTAAACCTCAAAATTCAAATTATCTTTCTTTAAATTCATGTTTATTTCTTGAGGAGTCCATAACAAGTAGTCAAAGAAATGGACTCTTCTAATTTCTAGTATATGTAGAGTGATTGGGATTTTGAGCTGTAGGAAACCTAATAGCTGGTAAACCCAACCATGGTACAATGTGACTAAAATGTTGGAGTGTTTGAGAGTCAGGAGAGTGAGACATTTGGAGAAACGTCATCGCTTCTCCACTCTGATGGATTGCTATTGTGTATCTGTCCCACAGATGTCCTGAAAAGGGCCTAGGGTCACACTTTGTTCCCCAGATGTTTTTATCACTGTCTCCTTTCTTTTTCTGCAGGATGTCAGTGTGGGAGGACTGCTCTCTTGTCATCTTCCTCTTCCTGCCCCCATGCCATGCTCAAGGTCTAACTGGTTATTTTTACTTGGGACATTAAAACCTTGTGTTCTGGTTATCTATTGCTGTGTAACAAATCAATCCAAACCTGGTGTGATAAAACAGTTAATTGTGATGATTTTTATGGTTCTGGTGGTTGACTGAGTTTAGTGGGGCAATTTTCTTTCACTCAGGGTGTCACATGAGGTTGCAGTCAGAAAGTGGCTCTGGCTGGGATCATCTCAAAGGCTTTGTTGCTCACAGGTCTGGTGTTTGATGCTCGTTGTGGTCTCAGGCCTTAGTTGGGGCTGTTGTTTGGAATACCTACGTGTACTTTCTCCACATAATCTAGCCTTTGTCTAAGTATGGCAGTTGGGTTCTAAGAGCAAGTTTCTCAAGAGAGAGAGCCAGGCAGAAGCAGTACCACCTTTTATGATCCAGCCTTGGAAGGCACATAGCATCACTCTTGTTGTGTTCTATTGGGTGATGCAATTACGAAGGCTCACCTGGGTTCAGGGAAGGGGACATAGTCTCCACATTTGGATGTAAACAAAAGCCTGTTTATTCTGCAGGCAAGAGATATCACAGGCCATCAGGGCTCAAAGTTTGGCTTGCTCCGCCACATCACTCTTCTATTTTCAAGGAGTGGGCTGGAGGGATTTGTGAATAAACTTATAAAAAAGTTAGTCTCCATTAAGTTATCCTGGCACACTGACTAAATGAATTAAAATCATCTTTTGGTGGAGTGGAGTGATACGATTAAAGGTAAGTGTTCCAGTTGTCTATTGCAGTGTCACAAACTGCACACAAACTCAGTTGCTTAAAATAATATCAGTTTTCTTGTATAATTTTGTGGGTCAGGAATTTGGGCAGGATCAGCAGAGAAATTCTTTTGCTCTCCCTTTAGTGTTGACTAGAATCACTCTGATCTTCAGCTAGTGGCTGGGTTTGCCTGGAGGGTCCAAGATGGCTTCACTCACGTGCCTGTGCCTTGGTAGGCACGTCTGAAAGACTCGGCTCAGCTGGATCTTTCTCTTTCCACATGGTCTCGGGGCCTACCCTCAGGTCTCTCCAGCAGACCATATGGACACATCGTAACTCATCACTTCCATAGTCTACTGGCTAATACAGTCACAATGTGTACCTAGGTTCAAGGGGACGGGGAAATACTCTACTTTTTGATAGGGAAAGGGCAAGACCACCTTTCAAAAGAGCATATGGAATAGGAAACATTGTTGTGGGTACTTTTGGAAAATAAAATCTACCATTTTAGGTAACAAAAAAGTTACAAAGTAGAAAAGAAAAACTGTGACTTAAATACTAGTATTAGTGGCTCTAGACAAAGTATGACTCCAAGTGACAAGGTAATTTGCTAAATTAAAGGAATTAGGGCTGCTTAGTTCCTTACTTTTAGTCTGATCTTATTTTATTTCTTTAGCTTATTTATTGATAAGCTAAGGTATTGGGCATCTGTTATGTTTTGTCTGAAAAACTTACTTCATTTTAGGATTCCAAGCTGCAGAATTTGACTCAATGGTTTACCTAAAAGTTTTGCTTATTTTGTTTAGTTTTGACAAGAAGGGGAGTTTTATCCATCTATCCATCCATCCATCCCTTCCTTCATCCATTGATTTGGTATTTATTTAGTGTCTTGTATGTACTAGACACCGTTTTAGGTGCTGTAGTTACAGCATCATCTAGTACAAAGTCCATGAGCTTATGGAATTAACATTCTCCATATTTCTGGATTGGAAAGTAGCTCAGAATGAGGCAAAGCGACAGTTATGACTAATGAGAATTGGGAATAGAAAAAGAATGTCTCTAAGACTGTAATGGTATGAGCAGAAATATTTCTCTCTTAACCAGCACATAAACACATTAGGGGAAGCCCGTTTCTTTTTATACATGTGGGAAAAATAAAATCTATTGGTGAATGCTCAGAAAAACTCTTCTGGAAGCCTGGAGTGACTTTACATTTACCAAGAGGCTGTAAATGAAATTGCTGTGTTCACTGGGTCAGAAAAGAGAAAACAGGCCAGAAACTTGTTCTTATGAGACTAGGTGATTATTTTTGTTTGTTTGTTTGTTTCAATAGTTTCTATATTTTCCAGGACAGGGTATATACATTTTGCATGTGGGCAAATTCTGTGAAATATTTCTTATATTGGATAAATCAAACAGGCCAATGGAGGCTCATAACCTTAGGAACTTCTAGCCATCATAAGGGTAAGACCTAAGCAAATAATTTCCCAGCAAGAATACAATTCTCAAGAAGAAACGAATTATTTACTATGGATTCATTGCAGCCTCCCACTCAAGACAGCACAGGGTCATAATTTGTGATTAACCAATAACTCTAATACTATTTAATAAGTATATTATTTTTATGTAATGCCTTAATGTGAATTTTAAACAATATACATTTGCACATTGTGTAGTTAACTTGCATAATTTATAATAAATTTGAATACTATATTTCCTATTTTAAAATATATTTTTTTATTTCAATAGCTTTAGGGGTACAAATGGTTTCTGCTTACATCAGTAAATTGTGTAGTGGTGAAGTTTGGGCCTTTTGTGTCTCCACTGCTGGAACGGTATGCAGTGTACCCAACAGGTGAATTTCTTATCCCTCGTTCCTCTTTCACCCTCCCCCTTTCTGAGTCTCCAGCATAGATGACTATTCCTATCAATCTAGGTGACCTTGGGTCCTTTTTATTCACCCAGATACTGGGGACCTTGGAATATGAGATGCTTCTGATTTTATGTTATACTACACTAATTTTAGAAACTTCAGAAAAGTATAAAAGAGGAAGGTAAAAATGATTCCTACTTTCACTATCCAAAGATTACCTCTACAAATACTTGGCATATTTTCTGTTTCTTTTAACAAGACATACCCACGGCCAAAGCCATGTATCTAAGAAAAGTGGGATCACATGCTATAAGCGATTCCGAGTCCTGCTTTTTTCACTTAACACTATAAAAGTATGCATTTGCCTATGTTAGTAAATGCCTCTGAAATCATGAATTTTTAATGGCTGTGTAAGACTCCATTGTATGAATATACCAACCACCATTTGGATATTTGCATCATTTCTTTTGTTATTAATACTGCCATAATAAACATCTGTGTGCATTGATGTTTGTGTGTACCTCTGATATTTTTTCCCTTAGGATAAACTCATAAAAGGGGAACTTCTTGGTTAAAGATACAAACTTAAATGTGAGCAACTTGATCTTCTCCAGGAAGATGAAAAAAGGGGATTTGAATTTATACTAAATTAGTCCTAAAATGGCATTTGATAGTTGCATGGATGAGAGTGTTGTCTTGTTGCCGGGAATATTATAGTAGGTTCTTACACAATTTCTTAATGAGGGGATACCTCAATGATAGTGTTCTTGAAGCTGCTTGAAATTAGTTCAGAAACAAAGTCCTCAGTCAAACTAGAGATTATTTGTTTTGTGTTTTTGTTTCTTTTTATGATTTGCTTTTCAGTTCCCAAGTCAGAGCAAGACAAGCAGACATGTGAATTGGAGGCTGAATCCATCACTTACAGCTGCTCTTGATAAAAGAAGAGCAGTTCCAAGTGCTTTCCTGCTGGCAGCTGCCTCCTTGCTGGCTATCATTCCTTTCCCTGTATCATCTCGCGTGTCTCATTTTGTCCAAAGTGCAGAGCCAAGAGGGCATCTGCTCTGAAGCTTGAGGCCCGCTCACCTTATCTCTCCAGCACTGCAACCCACCAAGAGGGAGGCTTTTCTGTTCCTTTCCCCCTATCCTCCAGCCTCCGGCCCCCAACCTTTTAGCAGTTTATAACAAGTTGCTCTCTTGTATACAGAAAAAACAGGCCCTCAACAGGATCTGAGTGTGCTGTTTGGAACTGTTTATGACTTATTTTGGACTCTCCAGGCGAGGCCATAAATACACAGTTAATCTGCCTGATAGCAAGAACAGTCACCTTGGCCCCAAGAGATTAACCACATGTGGAAACACAGAGACCCCATCCTTTCTGCACCAGCCATGCAGTGCAGCTGTCTATAAACCTGGCCCTCTGTGGAGTGGATGTGGGGACTGGTGCCCCAGCTGCTCCCTTAGGTCATTTCCTTTCCCTGCACCATCTTTCAAACACCTAGTGCCATCCTCAATCCTTCCTTGCCTCTGAAAAATGTCTAGCAGTTGCTTAAGCCATTGGGTTGTCTCTTTTAACTTAACTTTGGAATTTCATCTTTATCATTGTGCCTTCAAAGCCTTGCCACCTCTTATTTGGTCATTTAGGGCTGCACTAACCCACAAGGTAGCCACTAGCCACATGTGGCTATTTAAACTTAAATAAATTTAAAAAAACCAAAGTAAAAAAAAATTAAGCTTCTCAGTCACACTAACCACATGTCAAGTGCTCAGCCCCCACATGTGGCTAGTGGCTCCTGCAGTGGATGATGCAGACATGGAACATTTCTGTCATCACAAAAGGTTCTTCCACTAGACAGAGCTGATTCATGACATCAACACTAAGGAAGGCTGAGGTAGGGAAATAATGACCTCTCTGCTTTGTATTTGGGACTTTTTGCCAGTCTGAGCATGGAAAAAAATATAATGGTAGCTGACATTTTCTCAGCTTTTATCATATGCCAGGCAATGCACTGAGAAGCTTTTGGGCTTGTTGAAATCCCAAAATAAGCCCACAAAGTGGAGATTATCATTCTACCTATTTTACAGGTGAGAATAAGAAAAGCTGAGCAACTCTCTCAAGATCATACAGCTGGATTTGGGGCCTCTTCCGTCTTCCTCCCAGCCTCACTCCCTGCCAACACTGTGAGAAGCCTCCTGTCTGGGCTGCCACTCTGAGACCCCAGAGCCCTTTGGGGATTTCTGACACTCTGCAGGTCCCTTGCAGTGAGATTGTGAGGCTGGGGGGCTGCTCTGATCTGGTGTTAGGCATCAGGTTGTGTACTCCCAGATCCAGTGGTACCTAGAAGACTTAAGTCTGTAAACCTCTATAATTTCAGTTTTCTGGTCTTTCGAATAGACAAAAGCAAGGAGTTCACTGAATGTCATCCTGAAGGGGGGGGGGATGAGTGCAGAGGGTCTCCACATTTTTCCAGTTTAAGAATTAACTTGGTTCCCAGCACTTTGGGAGGCCAAGGCGGGTGGATCACTTGAGGTCAGGAGTTCGAGACTAGCCTGGCCAACATGGTGAAACCCCGTCTCTACTAAAAATACAAAAATTAGCCATGCATGGTGGCAGATGCCTGTAATCCCAGCTACTTAGGAGGCTGAGTCAAGAGAATTGCTTGAACCCAGGAGGCAGAGGTTGCAGTGAGCTGAGATAGTGCCACTGCACTCCAGCCTGGGTGACAGAGTGAGACTCCATCTTAAAAAAAAATTAACTTGGAAACTCATGCCTCAGAAAGCATGACTCCAGCCACCCTGAATACCCTTAGTGTACAGATATGCTTTGAGTGGTCACATAGAGAGGGCACAGGGGCACCAAAGGAAGGGAGGAATCAGGAGTCCCCATGGAGGTTCTATAGAGGAATCCAAATTATGTCTCCAGGAGCTTCTTCTATAACCAGTTGCTGTCTCTTCCCCCTGCCCCAAATTTAGTAAGATATAATTGACAAAAATTATATATATTTATGGTGTACAAGCTAATTATTATATAACATATGCATCGTCTCACGTACTTATCATTTTTGGTGGTGAGAACATTTAAGCTCTACTCTCTTAGCAGTTTTTAAGTATACAATACATTATTATTACTACAGTCAGTATGCTGTACAATAGGTGTCCAGAACTTATTTATCCTGCATAACTGACACTTTGTACCAATTGACTGATATCTCCTAATTCCATCGCCTTCCCCCAACCCCTTGACAACCACCATTCCCCTCTTCTTCGGTGCATTTGGCTTTTTTAGATTCCACATATAAATGAGATCATGTAATACTTGTCTTTCTGTGCTTGGCTTATTTCATTTAGCATAATGTCCTCAGGTTCATCTATGTTGTTAAAAATATAAGATTTTAATCTTTTTAAGGCTTAGTAGTATTCCATTGTGTATATGGACTGCATTTTCTTTATTCACCTATTGAGGGACACTTGGGTTGATTCCATGTCTTGGCTCTTGTGAATAGTGCTGTAGTGAGCATGGGAGTGCTGATATCTCTTTGACATACTGACTTCATTTCCTTTGGATATATACCCAGAAGTGGGATTGCCAGATCATATGGTACTTCCATTTTTAATTTTTTGAGGAACCTCCATACTGTTCTTCATAATGGCCTTACTAACTTACATTTCAATGAGCAGGAACCAGTCTTTCTCTTGTACAGTTTCAGTCATCGCCCTCACTGTCCCATCTCTTGCCTCCTCCCTTTAGGATGTCTGTGGGCACTGAAGTTTTCTCTTCAGACTGGATATGAGCCAGCATCCCAGCACTTTGTGAGTTGAGTGTCAGGACAAGGTGCGACTTGATTCTCCCAGAAATCTTTCTTGTTTTAGAGATAGCCTCCTGGGCCAGGGACTCTTAAGGACCAAAGTTCAATTCCCACCACTCCCCATTACACTGGGAACTTCAGAATGTGTGAGTTCCACGTTTCCCGGTGCTGACAGATCAGAGGAGGACCAGACGCGACAACATGGCTGCTGCTGGAGGGGCTGAGAGGTGACTGATTAGCTTAAGCCTGCACAGCCCGTGGAGGAAGCACCTCGTTCCTGCCTTCTCAAGTGATAAAGTCTATGCTGGAATACAGAGCTCCCTGCTCTGAGCACCTAAAGTCTTGATTTTTCTGGGGGAAAACTCTCTGTAGCTCTTTCTTCTAGTATTATTTGTGTTAGTGAGTAACTCCTTAACCAGGTTGTGAGCTCCTGGAGAGTTGAGAGTGTGTTTTGGTCTTTGTATCTATGAAGTGCTGGGTTATGCCTTTACTCCAGGGCCATGATTGAAAAAAAATGTTAGAGGGAGAAAATTGCAAGATGATCACCACATTTTGTCCAATTGAAAAGGAATGTGCCAACCAGTTTATACAGTTCCATTTATTTTTGGAAAAAATATATCTCCATATTACCTGCTTCCTGCCTTCCTTTAACTTCTCTCTCTCTTTTAATCAAAATAAGGAAAAAAAAACCACAGAATGCTATCCACAATATGTTAACTGTTGGTTATCTCCAGATGTTGGGATTATGCCTCAAACAACAATTCTGAGTAACTTAAATAAATATGGAATGTTCTGGAAGCTGTGGGGTAGGATACAGAGTTGAGGGAAAGCCCAAGACCCAGAAATTAGAAGGTCAGTGTTAAAAACATCTCTCAGATGTGGGTAGTGAGAAATAAAGGAGAGCCCTTCGTGCAGGGGGTCATCAGCTCCAAGCATTTTCTCATCTTTATACATCTCCCTTCAAGATTCAGAACCCTAGGAGGAGTCTGATTGACCTAGCATGGGTTATACGACCAGCCTTGGCGAGAGGAGGGCAGGATTCTTTAAATAATGGGAAACCTGTGCTATTACCAAAGATAGGGAGAGGAGAACTGCGAAGGCAAAATACAGATGACCATCACGAACAAGGGGTACTTTTCTTTTCTATCTGTGGTTTCTAATGTTTTTGCTACAAACAAAATACAAAAAATATTTAAGAAATATTTATGTATTATATATATAATATATATATTTATAAATGTTATAATAAACATTTTAACATTTGTCCTTTTAATAGTAAGAAGAAAAGATAGCAGCAACACCATTAAGAGGAAGCTAGTTCACTGGAAGGGATTCAGAGGTGAACATTTGGGAAAGTAAACGGACAGGAAGCCATGCAAAATAGGCTCTTGGTAGGAGCCTGGGATGTTTTAGTTGGTGAATGAGGATACTCAGGTGCATATGAGAGCTCTTTTTTACCACTTGAGGGAACAGTATCTGGATGTGGTGGGCAGTATTCTGCAGGGTTCCAGGAGTGAGAGTGCTGGGCCCAGGGGTGCTTCTAAAGAGGGTTGCTGCTCAATGGCAGGAGAGGCAGCCTCAAGTGCTCTCATAGGACCTCACCCAGGGTGTCCACGGAGGGACTCAGTGACTCATGCTGCAGTGGCTTCACTGGATGAGAGGATTCTGACATCCTTTCCAACCCTAATTCCTAGGATTCCAGGACTCATTATTGGCAGTGCATGGGTTTGTGGGGAAGAAGGCAGGACAATTTGCTGAAAGTCCATTAAAGCCCACTTTCTGGATAACCGGGAGGAGGTATAAGAATGCAGTTGCAATAATTTTACATATTCAAAAATATGTCCACGAATATATTACAGATTCTTATGTCTCAGGACCCTTCTTTTCTGCCCCATCGCTGGTCCCCTAGTCCTCTCCTTCTCTTTGTCTTTTAGCCCTCAACTATAGTCGTGGAGAGATGGAGCAAAGAAATGGAATATCCTTTAAAACAATAATATGAAGACAACATGAAAATGTATCAAATATAGCTAGGTATAAAAAACCAGGTAAACGCAGAGAATTGCTCATTTGGTGACTTGGCAATCAGAGAATTTGCTTGTGATGAATTGAATTTCAATGAAGCGATTTAGAGCCATTTTGGGATTGTTTTTTTACGGACATGGGGATTTGAACAGAAGTTCCTGATTCTCTCACCCTCAGAGAGCTGACGCACACTGGCCTATCTGGGGACATGTCATCTTTGAGTATCTCCCTCCTAGGGTAGGTGGGGGATTTCTGGAAAACAGCAGGCCTTGGGGTGCCCTGAGTGTGATGTTCTGGATATTCCAGATGAATCATTGCTGATTCAATTTGGGGCTGCCTTGGAAGGACTTTGAAGGCCAGCTATGCCCCAGTCAGGAGAACTCCTGAATCAGTCACAGTTACTTTGAATAATTCCTGGGGTTCATGTACAGATGCTGTGCTGAGCCTCTTAGATCCACCTTCATGGACAAGACACTTATGCCCACATCAGCTGAAAGTGCTGCCTTAAGATAACCAACAGCAGACAGGATTCTTTGGGAATTGCCCTGGCTGAACAGAATGGCCTTGTCCAAGGCCACACCCCCTTCCCAGGTGACCCATGTCGAATACTGAAATAGAGGCAAGAAGGCCCCATCCTGTTGCTACAACTCGACAACTCCAATCCCAGCTCAGGTTTTCTACAGTCCCTTTGCGCCATCCTGGAGTCTCTGAAATTCTTCATGCTATGTCATCTGCCTCACCCAGAATACACTGTACTCAACTATTACACTTTTATGCACACATAATTACCTTTAAATATTTGTATGTTTCTCAAGGCAAGGAGCTATGTCCAATATTCATTTGTATGTGTACAAGTGGTTTGCACATATTAGGTGTCAATAAATATGAGTCAACCATTCTATTGCTTCTAATAATAATTGCTAACAGTTTTTGAGGCTTACTATGTGCCAGGCACTGAACAAACAGCTTTGCATACTGAGTTTCAGTCAATCCTATGTATATCCATGGGATGTATGGTATCATTATGATGATTTTACCAGTAAGAAGACCTAGGCTTAGCAAAGTGCAGGGGCATGACCAGTGGCATGGTAATTGGTGACTTTGGAATAATCATCATATCTTCCTTGTGTGTACATAGTTCACTTACTTTTTTCAGAGCTCTTCAGTATTTAATTTTTCATGATGTTTTTCTTACATCTATGTGAGTGAACAATTTTACAGATGGAGAAATAAAGGTTTATGCCATCCAAGCCCTAATAAAAGTCACATAAGGTTTGGTGAAGGTCGCAGAAGGGTGGCTGATGTAGGATCAAGGCTAATAGTCCGTTTTGAATCTGGTGGCCTTTTTGACAAAGGCTGGGCATGGGCTCAGTTGGCAACTGGGTAGACTGGAGATGCACCAGAAAATCTTGTGGCTCCAGAAACAGTTGCAGGCTGCCAAACTCCTGGATTGTTTTCTATCCATGTTGCTGCAAAGGACATGATTTAATTCTTTTTTATGGCTGTGTAGTATTCCATGGTTGTAATTGTTTGGTGTTTTAGATTCTTTATGTACAAAGCAGTTTAAAGACAAAGCAATTTAAAGACTCATTCTTTTGCTTGAGAAACTCAGATCTTGTAGACAGTTTGTTCCCCAAGGTCTCATCAGGAAAGTAGTTTCTGGGACAGCCCCATTTGGAGTCATTTTACATCGGCACATCAGCACATCATCCAATAGAAAGTAAAGCCAGCACAAAAGATGCATGGGAGAAATACGAAATTATTCTAAAAACACAACTAATTGGTTATGACTAAGAAAGGACTTTAAAATCCTTTCCTTAAAATAACTGAAGATGTGGTTAGTCAAAATTAGCAATAATCTTTATATTTTGACTCTGCTTATGTTGGAAAAGACCACAAATCTGTCACCGGAACTTCTCATACACAAACCTACAAAACTATGGCCCAAGGAAAAAGTATGTCCACATTGTATTTGAAAATTTTACATCAATACTCCTCTAAAGATTTACAGAAATTGTATCTTATTTCTTAGTAATTCTTCTAGAGGCTATATCACTACCCTCCAAGTATGTTTACTGCTTAAAAATAAACAGTGTAGACAGGAAACTGATGTGGGATAAACATGATCCTTATGTTTTACTCCTGCATTTCAGAAGGGTCAAGGTCTTCATGTGACTTCATGCTGCACACTGTCAGTAGTTGAGTTTGGCTGTTCCTTCCTCTGCATTTTGAGGCAGCATGGAAATAGGATGAACAGAACATGGGTATTAAGTACGGGACTTTTGAGCTTGATCAGTGACCGGCTGGCCTGCCGTGATAAACAGGTACATTTTGTCATTTAGAGCATGAATGATACAGATGAGCTTATCTTCACATAGGGAAGTATATACAATATAAGACAAAGGCCAGATTTCAGCAGCTGCTTGATCTTTCTTTGAGGTTTGGTCAACCAAGAGCAGTTGGGGCTTTCCTCTCTTTCTTAATAGGGCAAGAGGCATCCACATCACAGAAAGACCCTTCAACAGACAAGGTTTTTGAAGATCCCATCTACCTCTCACCACTGATTAGGCATTATGCATCTTATTAGACAACTGTGCATTACAGTCATTCCTTGGTCATGCAAGATATCGATGCCTATGATGGGTCAGGATATCACATGAATAAGTATGGCTGTAAAAGACTGTACATAGTTCCTTTGGTCTGAAAATGAGGACCTTCTTAATGTTGATTTTTCATTTTTTTCTTCTCTCCATACTGTCCTCTGTCCTCTCTCTTCCTTTTCCTCTTGGTGTTTCAGATTCTTTTTTTTTTTCTTTCCAACTTTAATTTTAGATTCAAGGAGTAAATGTACAGATTTGTTAAACATGAGTCAGTTGCAAATTACAGGGGTTTGGTGTACAGATAATTTTGTCACCCAGATAATCAGCATAATATCTGATAGGCAGTTTTTGGGATTCTCACCTGCCTCCCACCCTCCACCCTCAGGTAGGTCCCGGTGTCTGTTGTTCCCTTCTTTGTATCCATGTGTACTCATATTTAGCTTCCACCATGAGAACATGCAGTATTTGATTTTCTGTTACTGTGTTAGTTCGCTTAGGATAATGCTCTCCAGTTCCATCCATGTTGCTGCAAAGGACATGATTTAATTCTTTTTTATGGCTGTGTAGTATTCCATGGTTGTATATGTTTGGTGTTTCAGTTTCTTTATGTACTATGGACAAAGCAGTTTAAAGACCCATTCTTTTGCTTGAGAAACTCAGATCATGGTAGGCAGTTTGTTCCCCAAGGTCTCACCAGGAAACTTCTTGAGTATTTCAAACAGGGAGACTTTAGTGACACAGGAAATAATGATAGCAGAGAATTGCAGACACAAGTGATGGATGAACTGAGAAACCAAACAGGAACCAGTAAAGCCATCAGAGATCGGAAAAAACAGGAAACCCTTACCATCCCTTGTCAGGCAGGAGGGAATGAGGGAGTTAGCTTGAAAGGATCAGCTCGTCTAAGTTGGGATCTCAGAGGGTCTGTTCAGCAAAAGCAGGAATCACATTGGGACTTATCTGGGTTGGAGATAATGTCCAAGGCAGGTAAGAAGAACCTGGCTTCTTTGTCCCTTCTGCCTTTGAATTTCCTGCCACTATTTGTTGGACAAACCCAACAAGGATTCTGTTGTGGATATTACTTACCTGCTGGCATGGCCCTGGGTCTATTTGCCTTCCAGATCCCTCATTCAGCAATTCCTTTCTCTGTTCTGAATCTCGGGGGCTAACAGAGCCTAGGAAATGCAGCCTGCGGGGGCCAGGCAGCCCCTGCAGTTCAGAACAGGGAGAGGGAAGTCTGAGGACTGGAGGAGGGAGTAAAGAGGGTCAGGGCCATCACAGCAGGTACTCAGCATCCACAGTGGAATCCTCATGTGAGTGTTCTTTCTCTAATTCTTTATCCTTATACTTCCTGCTTCCCTTAGAGTCCAGATCATTGTCACTCCTTCTGGAAATCTTTCTCTTGACCCTGCTAATCTGGAGTCTGCCTCTCTGTGCCCCTAATTTCCTGGGCACACTTCTATTAGGGCTGGGCTACATTAAAATATAATTGACAATATACTGCTTTGTTTTTTTCTATCAGCCAAAAAATCTCCTTGCTGGCATTTCTTATCCATCCTTCTATCCCGAGTCACTAGTAACCCCCTCCTTTAGTAGGAGGCCAGTAAACAAATGAAGACATGCCTGAATCTCACTGAGACGATATGCAAGATGTAACAGCTATCTTCACATGCTAATTATTTGATTTGTAAAATGCAAAAATTGCACGTTCAAAAAACGGTTTGATTAACTTTTGCCCTTCTTTGAAAATATACAAATAGTTTTATTTTTAGAGCCAAACCTAAACTCCATAGGTGCGGAGCTGGATATCCTTTATCATTCCTTTTGGATACTAAATGTGTGTCTTTGGCAGATAGAAACTGTTGACAGAATGCTGGAAAGGGAACCAGAGATGACAGAAGTGTGAAATAAATGGTCTTGGGGGCTGAAAATTGATCTTCTGAATGCTCCCTTCTCTTATACTGATGGTTATCTACTGGAATAATATACCAATTTGTCTTTTGGTCTTTTTCCCCCTTTATCCCACCATAAACTGAGCATTAGACAGAAAATAAGAAACTGGTTTGAATTTAACCATTGGACTGGAAGAGTGTGTGATCTTCATGTTTGAGAAGAATGGACTTCATCCCCTTGGTCCCTTTCATTTCCAATATTTGCTCTCTTCTCTACTGAGTTTGATTTGATGACTTTTTCTGTGAGTCAGATGGCATCTTTTCTGGCTGAAGTATCTTGGTTTCCATATCTCTCTTGGGAGCATGAGGAATGGGTTGACATAATGTGTCAAACATTTCTTTCAAATCTTTGTAGAAGTTGTCTATTCATGAAGTAAGTAGTAGCTTATATCATGAACTTTTTAAAATTCAATTAGAATTTCTTGAAATATGTAATGCATACACAGGCATAGAATTTTTAAGGCAAGAAATGTTTTATGTTTTATTAATACATATAATAAAGTATGTAAATATTTTATTTTAGATTTCAAGTAATCTTCGCCCATTCTAGTTTTTCAATCCCCTAGTTTTCCTCTCCAAAATCAATGACTGTTACTTGTTTCTTGTGCATCTTTGTAGTTATTCTATGCTTATAAAAGCAAAGTATATCCCCTCAACACATATTTAATACAACCAGAACATACTGCACGTGCTGTTTGCACTCGCCACTTGCATTTTTAAACTTAACATTTCACATCCTATAAATCCAAGCATACCAGGGAAGTTCTTTCACCTTAAACTTCCTAAATGGACCTATTTCTTATCCTTGGAAGTTATATTTCTGTTGGATAATAAATTTTTTCCATCGATAAATACTGCAACACTAAAGAGATGACACATTAAACATCTTTAGGGATTTAAAACTTGGTATGAATTAGTTAATGGCCTAGCTTTCTAATCTGCTAATGAGGGGTGATTGATGGAGGCATTAGAGATTTTGAATTTTGGAAGAGAAAGATTGCAGTGACTAGGAAGCAAAGGTGCTGAGAGAAACATTTTCCCACTCTAATTTGTTGAGTGCCCTTTCAAAGTGTAAACAACTCAGAAGAAATCAAGTCATGGAAGGAAGAGGGCCAAGGAGAGCAATACTTGAATCAATATTGCAACACCAAAGTGATTGTCAAGGACAAACATATTCTAACTCTGGGAGATAAGGGTTGTTCTATAAAATGCTGTTAAGACTAGCTTAAAAGCATATTAACAGGAATGGAGAAATTTATTCAAGGAATTTATTCAAACATCACAGATGTGCTCAAAACTCAGCTATAAGGATGCTTGTGATGAAATAGTGAAAAAAATTAAATCAATGTTCAACAATGAGAAAATGGTTGTACAAATGATGCTATGTCCATATAATGATCTTGCCAATTTTTAATGACATGGAGAAGGTTTCAAATATAATGTTAAGTGAAAAAATTAGCATGTAACATATGAAATATATTCACTATCAATATATGAGGATATATGTTTAGAAAAAGCATATATTTATATATAAAATAAATCTGCATTCTAGAATTATGGGTAACTTAAATTTTCTTTTCTGCTTGCCCATGTTTTCTAAATTTTCTACAGTAGACAACAATAATTTTGAAAAATGTAAAAATCATGAGCTGAGACGCATGTGAAATAGTTTATAATGTCAGTTTCAACCCTATTTCTACTTCTGCTTTGGCATATGTGCTGCTTAAAATTATTTATGGAAATATAATATGAAATATGGTTAACAAAACAATACCTATTGTAGATGCAATGGAAACAAGACTCAAGTAAATCGAATCTTCTTTTTAAAAATATGTATTTATTTATTTATTTTTAACCCCACCCAAGCCAGAATTTTGAACTTCTTTTATGAGAATTCTTTTCAGCATCAATTTTTTTTTTCTCAACTTGGAAAATACTATTTACCCCACAGAGATGGGTCATCAAATATTGTGCCCAGGATATGTAGCAAAATAGAGAATCACATGATTCTCACTGCTTTTTGGAAATCATAAATGTGATCAGCCAGCTAATTACATTTCCATTTTACTTGTTTGAGATTGAGCTCCTGTGAGAGAATGGTAGTATTTCCTCCCTTCCCCTTCCCCTTCCCTTCCTTCTTTTTTCTTTTTTCTCTTCCTCTCTTTTTCATTCTTCAGGTATTTTCAAAACATGGTACCTTTTATGGCTCGAAGGCATGTTTGTGGCGGGTGTTGGCAGGTTCCCTGTTTATGTTTGACTCTGCTGATCCACACAGCAAGGAAGGCAGCTATATTTACCTTTGTGGCTATCAGATGTCTGAGAACTTAGATGATAGAGGTGACTTTCTAGCAACCACAGTCCTTTAATTTAAGTCCTCACACAACACCTGTTAAGGAAGCATGAAGAAAAATTACTTCCCCTACCAAACAGACAAACTAAATTCGAACTCACAAAGTTTCAACAAAGCAAAGATATTATTCGGTAAAATAGAAACAACAACGAATGAATAATACAACAACATGAGAACTACAGCAACAAAAATAAATATATGAATGAGTTTTATGAAAAGTGAATTTACATCCAGTGCAGTAAATGATTTGGGAACTTTTCCAGTTATTTGTTGTCAACATAATGCTGCAAAACAAACAATCACAAAACTTTTATACAACAAACAACACAACATACAGTGCCATGCAACAATAAACATATATTTTCCTCTTGTGTCTGTGGAACACCTGGGTGATTGGTTTGAGTGATTTTGTCTGGGTTTACTCATGCATTTGCAGTCAGCTGGCAGTTTGATTCTGCTCCACATGGTCTCTCATTCTCCAGTAGGTTAATCTGGGATTACTCTCATAGTGGAAGCAGAGGTCCAAGGGATAGTAGAAGTGTGCAAGGCCTCTTTAGGTCTAGGTTTGGAACTGACAAAGTGTAATTTCTGGCATATTCTATTGGCTAAAGCAAATCACAAGGCAAGTGCAGATTCGAAGGGTGGGGAAATAGACTTCACCTCAATGGGTGTTGATGCAAAGACATATTACACAGGGCATGGATCTGGAAAGGGTAGAGAATGATGCCATTTTTGTACTCAATATGCACAGGGATTTTACATTCTGAAAAATAAAATGTTGCCACTTGATAACACTACTGAATTTTGGCTCCTCTTCATTAATAAATTGGATACTTTGATATGATATTTTCATAGTCTTTCAGTTGATGTTCCACAATTTGCAATCATAACGTCTATTTGTAGTTCTTAGAAAAGACAAGAATAAGTGAGTAAGAGGAAGAATTGCCTTAATTTCCCAACAGAACTTTATGCTTTGGTTACACATGTGATGGTGTTTGAAGCTAAAATGATTTTAGCTTTATGTCTGACTTTGAGTAAAATTAAGAGAAATGTTTACACACATAGAATAAAGCAAAGAAAGAATCTAAGATTTCGAATGGCTCAATTTTATCAGTGAAGACATGGGGATCTAGCCCTGTAAGAGACCATGTCCATAAATTTATTTTTCAAAAACGCAACATACAAAACCACACAAAAAAACCTCTTAGAAATACAAGAAAATAATGATTAGAAACAAAATTATGGAGATTTACAGATAAAATTAAACTAAAAGTGAGGATATAAAGGATTTGAAGCCTATAGTCAACAAAATAAATTTAATAGATACAGAGATATATAGAAAACTTTGTGTCCTACCTTGCAAACAGAAATTGCTTTCTCTAAAACACAAGAAAGACTTTGTTGTTGTTTTGAATTTAGAATGCAGAATGATTAAATCAAGCCAACTAACATATCCATCACCTCACTTATTGTTTTTTGTGGTGAGACAGTTGAAGTTTACTCTTTTAGCTATTTTAAAATATACCATACATTATTACTGACCATAGTCACCCTACTGTGCGATAGATCTCAAAACTCATTTCTCCTGTTTGTCTGAAACTTGTACCCTTTGACCAACTCCCTATTCCATTCCTCCCCGACCCATACTCCTAAGCCTCTGGTAACCACCATTCTACTTTCTACTCTATAAATTTAAGTTTTTAAAATTCCACAGATAAGTGAGATCATGTACTATTTGTCTTTCTGTGCCTGGCTTATTTCACGTAGCATACTATCCTTCAGGTTCAACCTCATTGTTGCAAATGACAGAATTTTGTTTTTAAAGGCTGAATAGTATTTCATTGTATATATAGTACATGTTAAATTCATTCATCTGTTGATGGACACTTACATTAATTCCATTTCTTGTCTATTGTGAATAATGCTGCAGTGAACATGGGAATGCAGATATCTCTTTGACATATGGGTTTCAATTCCTTTGGAAATATACCCAGAAATTGGATGGTTGGATTATATAGTAATTCTATTTTTAGTTTTTTTGAGCAACCTCCATACTATTTTCCATAATGGTTGTATTAATTTAAATTTACTAATTTAACATTACTAATTTAAACATTTTAAAACATGATTATTTGAAAGCCCCTTTTTGATTTAGCTGTATAATCTCTAGTTCTTCCTGGATGAGTTTTTCTATTTGTTCCATCCCTGAATATTTCTAATGATGTTGGTTTTCCTTTGTGCATGGTAGTGGGTTTTCTTCATGCACTTTGTTATTTTTATGAACAAGCTCATTTTTGGTGGGAGATATTTTACCCAAGAGTTTTCTGAGTGCCTTAAGCAGACATCTCTAGGATGGTTTCACCATAGCTTCTGCTGGGAATCTGTTGGGTTCAATGGCTCCAAATTAATTCTTTATTTTTTATTTTCAGGCAGAATCTCACTCTGTTGCCCAGGCTGGAGTACAGTGGTGCAAACACGGCTCTTTGCATCCTTCAACTCTGGCTCAAGTGATTCTTGATTCCTCCTGCCTCAGCCTCCCGAATAGCTATGACTACAGGCATGTGCCATCAAGCCCAGCTAATTTTTTAAACACTGTTTGGAGAGATGGGGTCTCCCTGTGTTGCCCAGGCTGATCTCAAACTTCTGGGCTCAAGCAAACCCCTCACCTCAGCCTCCCAAATTGTTGGGAATTACAGGCATAAACCATTGCACCTGGCCTCAAATTAGTTTTTATACTAGTGTTTTCACTTGCATCTTATGTACCATTTAGGTGTGCTATGTATGTGGCTTGCCTGAGGGCTTTGACACTCTTTCTGGTGACTTTTTTCGCACTATAGCCTGGGGTATGTGGTTCACTTCTGCACTATAACTCTAGACATGGTAGAGTTTTCTTAGATTCGGTTGAAGGATGGGATGTCTTCCATGGCTCCTGGCTTTATGACTAAAACTCTGAAACATTTTGTTAGCCTGCATGTCCTCCCAAAAGGCCTCATGGTTTTAACTCTTGCTCAGCCCTGTGGCTTTGGATATGAGTTTTCTCCTCATTTATGGCATCTGAATTTTCCCTCTCTTTTTGTTAGACTCAGCTATGAATTTCCATTTTCATTAACAAGTATTTTACACATTTGGAGCAGAACAGGGCTTCTGGTATCAAGTCTGTGCTTACTGGACAGAAATTCCATTGATCAAACACTAACAAAGAATGTTGTTAGCCACAAACATGATATATAAGTAACAACATTTCAGGAAGTAATGACAGCTGTGAAGATAAGTAAGACAAGTAAAAAGCTAAACAATTGGCATTTATTTTAAAGGAAGGTCATGGAAAACTTCTCTAAGGTAATCTTTGAACAGAGGACTGACTGAGGCAAAGGAGTGAGCCACGTGAAGATCTTGGGATGAACATTCCAAGCTGAGTGAGAACCTGAGGTTGGTGTAAGCTTGGTGTGTTTAGGGAACAGCAAGACATTCCAGCATCCCCAGAGCAGCATGAACAAAGTGGAGAGTGGTACGAGATAAAGTCATAAAAATGCTACTCATATGGAGCCTTTGTAGGCCATGAGTGTTGGGAATTTGGATTTTATTCTTGTGTGATGGGAAACCCTTGGAGTGTTTAAGAGAAGTCACAAAATTCTATTTATGTTGATATAGGGCATTCTTGTTGCTGTTTGGCGAGGACACTGTAGGAAGATAAACTGGAGATACGGAGATTTATTCCAAGATTAATCCAGGCAAGAGGTTTTTGTGGTTGGGAACAGGGTGGTAGCAGTGGAGGTGATGAAAAGTGTCCAGATTTAAGATGCATTTTGAAAGGAAAGATGACAAGACATGTATGTGTAAAGGAAAAAGAACCATTAAGAATAAGTCTGATTTTTGCCCTGAGCAACTGGGTAACTGATAGTATCATTTGCTGAACTTGGGAGGGTAAAGGATTTAGACTTCAGTGTGAAGCATGATATATTTGAGATGTCTGCTAAACATCTGAGTAGAGATATCCAGTAGGCAGTTCAATATACCAGTCTGGCATTCAGGAGAGAGACTGGGGCTTAAGAGCTATGTTTAGAAGCCATCAGTGAAATAATACAGCACTCAAAGATGGAAGATTAGAGGCTTTTAATGTGCCTCAACCACTTGGAAATAGCAAGATAGTACAGTAAGATCAACTCTGTGACCTTTAATTTAAGAAGGAATATGAAAATCCACCAGAATTGTGAAGGACACCCCAGATCCCAGGAAGGAGAATGCCGGCAAACAACCCTAGTGATGTCATCTTGCTGATAAAAGTGAGAGAAGCCCCATTATGTGAGAGAGGCAGAGAGCCTCTCTCTGTGACTCACCTTTCTATTGGGAATCTGAACAACCCAGGCTGAGGGGGAGTATTTTGTTTGTCCCAAGCTCTGGAGGTTACTTGGGGAGGGACATGGAGATGCTCTGAGGGAAAAACACTGGGAAAAGCTACAGACATTTTCCCAGTCCTGAGACCAAGAGCAGGACACAATTTTTAATCCAGGTACATACAAAATCAGCCATTCTTTGGTGACCCACCGGCATGGCCACACAAGCATATTAGTCTCAGGCCAGAGATTGGAGGGCCTGCTCTGGAGTGGCATAAGGGCCTTTCAGAGCCAGAACTGTGGAAAGTGCCTCAGCAGTTGGCACTGAAGTTGTGCTCTTCCCTATCAAAAGCCGGGGGTGCGAGAAGAGCTGCTACAGCTGCAGTTTCTCCTGGGAGGTAAGACTTGTAGCCAGGGCCAGCTTTGCACTCTGCAACCAGTCTGTGTGTGCCATTGCTGGGTATCCCACCTTGTTCTCCCGAGATTGTGGTACAGCAGTTTCCTCTCTTCTACACTCCCAGGTGGAAACCTAGGCATTTAGAGTGCCTGATTGCCTGGACCAGCAGCCTGAGATGCCCCACCAATCCTGGACATAGATTGTGGTGCAGCAGCTCCATGCCCAGACAGATCTCCAGGCATTTAGAGCACCAACCGGCTTGCCCGAATTAACAGCCTGAGATGCCCCACCCATCCTGTGCAGAGATCCTGGTACAACAGGGCTCTTTCTGCTTCACACCCAGGCAGATCTCCAGGCATTTGGAGCACCCGTTTGCTTTGTTCAGAAACTTGAGCCACCTCACCCTTCCTGTGAAGACACTGTGCAGGGAGGCCCTCTCTGCTTCACACCCAGGCAGACCTCCAGGCATTCAGAGCACTCACTCATCAGGTTCAGCAGTCTGAGTTGTCCTACCCTTCATAGTCCTAGATCTTGGTGCAACAGGACCCTGTCTACTCCATGCCCAAAAGAGCTCCAGGCATTTGGAGCACCTGTTTGCCTGATTCAGCATCCTGAGAAACCCCACCCTTCCTGGAGATAAATTTCAGTATATCAAGCCCCTCTCCACTTCACGCCCAGGCAGATATTCAGGAATTCAGAGGACCAGCTTGCCTGGATTAGCAGCCATCTTGTGCAGAGATCCTGGTACAGGGAGACCTCCTCTGATTCATGTCCAGGCAGATCTCCAGGCATTCAGAGTAACCACTCATCTAGTTCAGCAGCTTGACCAACCCCACCCTTCCTGTGCAGAGATACTGGTGAAGTAGGACCCTCTGCTCCCATGCCCAGGCAGATCTTCAGGCATCCAGAGCACTCACCCTCCTGGATTAGGAGTTTAGGCTTCCCGCAATCCCCATGCTGAGTACTTGGGGCGTAGGAGGTCTCCAAACTCCATGCCTATGCACATCTCTGGATGCTTGGTGGCCTCCCACTAAATTATCCCTCAGTGTAAGTGCTTGTAACTGCTAATGAGGAACCTGTAAGTGGACCTGCCTTGTCTAGCTCTGCTTATCATGGCTCCCACCATCCTTGGAGCTGAGAAGAGAGCTCAGATCACTGTGAATTCCACAAGGGAGCCCATTGCCTGAGGCAACAGAGAGCTTCTGCCAGTAAAAAAAAAATCAAGCATTTACCCAGATGTGTTGGCCATACCTGGCTCTTACTTATAAGCACAATTTACTGGCTTGTAGGTTGAACTGCACAGCCCAATGTAAAACTTGCTGAAAAAACTGCATAGGGCTATAGAAGCAAAGCCAAAAGATGCTACCCAGCATTCTCTACAGTTATACCCACTAAGGAGGTGGAAAAAAGGGAAAGGGAAGGAAAAACCCCAATTATATTATAGGAAAAGAAAGAAAAGAAAAAACTACTACCCACACACAAATACTTATAAAAATTAGTGCCAGTGTCTCCAGATGAGAAGAAACAAGTGCAAAGAATATGGCACCATGAAAAACCTGAATGTAGTGACACAACCAAAGGATATCACTAACTCTCTAGCAATGGTCCCTAACCAAAATGGAAACTCAGAAATAACACAGATAAAGAATTCAAAGGATTGCATGGAAGCTCAATGAGATCCAAGACAAGTTAAAAATCAATACAAATAAACTTCTAAAGAAATCCAGGAAATAAAGGAAGAGATAAATATCTTAAGAAGAAATCAATCAGAGCTCCTGGAATTGAAAAACCTACTTAAGAACTTTAAAAATGTAATTAAAATCTTTATCAGTAGGCTGGACCAAGCAGAAGAAAGAATTTTAGAGCTTGAAGACTAGTATTTCAAACTAACCCAGTCAGACAAAAATACAGGTTTTTTTAAAATAAAATTTTTGAGAAATATGGGATTGCAAAAAGCAACCAAACCTATGAATTACTGGCATTCCTGAAAGAGAAGGAGAAAAGGCAACATATTTGAGAAAATAAATCAAGAAAAATTTTCTAATCTGTTATCAAGGTAAATATCCAGGTACAAGAAATCTGGAGAACACCTGCAAGATAGTATGCAAAATGAACATTACCAAGGCATATAGTCACCAGACTGTCCAAGGTCAATGCTAAAGAAAAAATATTACTGGCAGTTAGAGAAAAAGGTCAAATCCTGTACAAAGGGAACCCCATCATGCTAACAGCAGATTTCTCATCATAAACCTTAGAAACTAAGAGATACGGGGGGCTTATTTTCAGCATTCTTATAGAAAATAAATTTCAACCAAGAATTTCATACCCTGCCAAACTAAGCTTCATAAGCAAAGGAGAAATAAAATCTTTTCTGGATGAGCAAGCACTAATGGAATTTGTTACCAGTAGGCCAGCCTTATAAGAGATCCTCAATGTAGTTCTAAACATAGAAATAACAGAACAATACCTGCTACCACAAAAACACACTTAATTACATAGCCCATAGACCTAATAAAGCAACCACACAATAGAAACTACAAAGCAACCAGCTAACAGCTTCACAATAGGCTCAAAATCTCACATATAAATATTAACCTTGAATGTAAATGGTCTAAATGCCACACTTAAAAGGCACAGATTGGCAAGTTGGATATAAAACCAAGACCCATCCATCTGCTGTCTTCAAGAGACCTATCTCACAGTAAAGGGTTGGAGAAAGATCTATCATGCGAACAGAGAACGAGAAAGAGTAAGGGTCATTATTCTTATATAAAATAAAACAGATTTTAAATCAACAGTAAAAAAGGACAAAGAAGGGCATTACATAGTGATAAAAGGTTCAATACTACAAGAAGACCTAACTATTTTAAATATATATGCACCCAACATTGCAGCACCCAGACTCATTAAAAAAGTACTTCTAGACCTATGAAAAGATTTTCTGTCTTTCTTTTACAAAATACTGGTGATATTACATTACCTACTACTGAATACTGTTAGCAATTATAATGGTATTTGTGTATCTAAACATAGAAAAGTTTCAGTAAAAATATGGTATAATCTTACAGAACCATTGTTGTATATGAAGTCACTGTTGACTAAAACATCATTATAAAGTGCATGACTATATATAAACCAGTAACATATTTGTTTATTATCAAGTATTATGTACTGTACATGAATGTATGTGCTATACTTTTGTATGACTGGCAGTGCAGCAGATTTGTTTGTTTATAGCAGCGTTATCACAAACAGATGAGTAATGCATTGAGTGGCAACTTTACAATGGCTTTCTTTGATGTCACTAAGTGATATAAAAATTTTCACCTCCATTATAGTCTTTTGGGACCACCATGGTATATGCAGTTCATCTTTGACCAAAACATCATTATGTGGTGAATGAATGTAATTGCTAGGGTTCTTGCAGTTATTTACACCATAATCTCTATTAGGGCAAGAACTTTGGTTCCCTTCTCTATCATTTAAGAAAAGGTATAAAAGAACATTACCGCCCTTAGAGAACCATTTTGTTTTATTATTGTAATTATCAAAGAACGTCTATTGAACACAACTGGAACAGTGTTGCTCTGTGGTCAAGTAGATGAATTTAACCTCTGAGAAAGTAGTTCATGCTATGCAATTAACAAAAAGAGTGGATGGAATATAAAAGGATAAGCTAAGATTTGTGCATAGCATGTGTAGATTATTCAATAGGTAGCAGAGTTGATGAAGAACGAAGAAGGAAACTGATAAATGGGGAAGCATAGCATTTGGGGAAGCCATTGAGCAAGTAAGATTTTTATTTTTAATAGTGTGAGTGATTTTGATTAAGATACAAAAGTATTTTGGGTCTATCATACCAAATATGGTTTAATATTTGTGCTCATAGTGTTTGTTTTTATCTGGGCCTACAGATAGGCAATGAAACGCTTTGAAAATGTAGCACAGGTAAATACCATGAAGTTTGTTTGAAAAGTTGTAATGCACTATAAAGCAGTACTGGAGGTTGCCAGCAGATGCAACCATAGATTTTGGAAATTCAGATTGAGACTTCCTTCTTAGTAGACCATGGTAATGTAACAAGTTTATGAAAGCACAATTTTTTTTTCTTTTTTTTTTTTTAATTATACTTTAAGTTTTAGGGTACATGTGCACATTGTGCAGGTTAGTTACATATGTATACATGTGCCATGCTGGTGCACTGCACCCACTAACCCGTCATCTAGCATTAGGTATATCTCCCGATACCATCCCTCCCCCCTCCCCCCACCCCACAACAGTCCCCAGAGTGTGATATTCCCCTTCCTGTGTCCATGTGATCTCATTGTTCAATTCCCACCTATGAGTGAGAACATGCGGTGTCTGGTTTTCTGTTCTTGCGATAGTTTACTGAGAATGATGATTTCCAATTTCATCCATGTCCCTACAAAGGACATGAACTCATCGTTCTTTATGGCTGCATAGTATTCCATGGTGTATATGTGCCACATTTTCTTAATCCAGTCTATCATTGTTGGACATTTGGGCTGGTTCCAAGTCTTTGCTATTGTGAATAATGCCGCAATAAACATACGTGTGCATGTGTCTTTATAGCAGCATGATTTATAGTCCTTTGGGTATATGCCCAGTAATGGGATGGCTGGGTCAAATGGTATTTCCAGTTCTAGATCCCTGAGGAATCGCCACACTGACTTCCACAATGGTTGAACTAGTTTACAGTCCCACCAACAGTGTAAAAGTGTTCCTATTTCTCCACATCCTCTCCAGCACCTGTTGTTTCCTGACTTTTTAATGATTGCCATTCTAACTGGTGTGAGATGGTATCTCATTGTGGTTTTGATTTGCATTTCTCTGATGGCCAGTGATGATGAGCATTTTTTCATGTGTTTTTTGGCTGCATAAATGTCTTCTTTTGAGAAGTGTCTGTTCATGTCCTTTGCCCACTTTCTGATGGGGTTGTTTGTTTTTTTCTTGTAAATTTGTTTGAGTTCATTGTAGATTCTGGATATTAGCCCTTTGTCAGATGAGTAGGTGGTGAAAATTTTCTCCCATTTTGTAGGTTGCCCTGTTCACTCTGATGGTAGTTTCTTTTGCTGTGCAGAAGCTCTTTAGTTTAGTTACATCCCATTTGTCAGTTTTGTCTTTTGTTGCCATTGCTTTTGGTGTTTTAGACATGAAGTCCTTGCCCATGCCTATGTCCTGAATGGTAATGCCTAGGTTTTCTTCTAGGGTTTTTATGGTTTTAGGTCTAACGTTTAAGTCTTTAATCCATCTTGAATTGATTTTTGTATAAGGTGTAAGGAAGGGATCCAGTTTCAGCTTTCTACATATGGCTAGCCAATTTTCCCAGCACCATTTATTAAATAGGGAATCCTTTCCCCATTGCTTGTTTTTCTCAGGTTTGTCAAAGATCAGATAGTTGTAGATATGCGGCATTATTTCTGAGGGCTCTGTTCTGTTCCATTGATCTATATCTCTGTTTTGGTACCAGTACCATGTTGTTTTGGTTACTGTAGCCTTGTAGTATAGTTTGAAGTCAGGTAGTGTGATGCCTCCAGCTTTGTTCTTTTGGCTTAGGATTGACTTGGCGATGCGGGTTCTTTTTTGGTTCCATATGAACTTTAAAGTAGTTTTTTCCAATTCTGTGAAGAAAGTCATTGGTAGCTTGATGGGGATGGCATTGAATCTGTAAATTACCTTGGGCAGTATGGCCATTTTCACCATATTGATTCTTCCTACCCATGAGCATGGAATGTTCTTCCATTTGTTTGTATCCTCTTTTATTTCCTTGAGCAGTGGTTTGTAGTTCTCTTTGAAGAGGTCCTTCACATCCCTTGTAAGTTGGATTCCTAGGTATTTTATTCTCTTTGAAGCAATTGTGAATGGGAGTTCACTCATGATTTGGCTCTCTGTTTGTCTGTTGTTGGTGTATAAGAATGCTTGTGATTTTTGTACATTGATTTTGTATCCTGAGACTTTGCTGAAGTTGCTTATCAGCTTAAGGAGATTTTGGGCTGAGACAATGGGGTTTTCTAGACATACAATCATGTCGTCTGCAAACAGGGACAATTTGACTTCCTCTTTTCCTAATTGAATACCCTTTATTTCCTTCTCCTGCCTAATTGCCCTGGCCAGAATTTCCAACACTATGTTGAATAGGAGTGGTGAGAGAGGGCATCCCTGTCTTGTGCCAGTTTTTAAAGGGAATGCTTCCAGTTTTTTCCCATTCAGCATGATATTGGCTGTGGGTTTGTCATAGATAGCTCTTATTATTTTGAAATACATCCCATCAATACCTAATTTATTGAGAGTTTTTAGCATGAAGGGTTGTTGAATTTTGTCAAAGGCTTTTTCTGCATCTATTGAGATAATCATGTGGTTTTTGTCTTTGGCTTTGTTTATATGCTGGATTACATTTATTGATTTGCGTATATTGAACCAGCCTTGCATCCCAGGGATGAAGCCCACTTGATCATGGTGGATAAGCTTTTTGATGTGCTGCTGGATTCGGTTTGCCAGTATTTTATTGAGGATTTTTGCATCAATGTTCATCAAGGATATTGGTCTAACATTCTCTTTTTTTGTTGTGTCTCTGCCTGGCTTTGGTGTCAGAATGATGCTGGCCTCATAAAATGAGTTAGGGAGGATTCCCTTTTTCTATTGATTGGAATAGTTTCAGAAGGAATGGTACCAGTTCCTCCTTGTACCTCTGGTAGAATTCAGCTGTGAATCCATCTGGTCCTGGACTTTTTTTTGGTTGGTAAGCTATTGATTATTGCCACAATTTCAGCTCCTGTTATTGGTCTATTCAGAGATTCAACTTCTTCCTGGTTTAGTCTTGGGAGAGTGTATGTGTCCAGGAATTTACCCATTTCTTCTAGATTTTCTAGTTTATTTGCGTAGAGTTGTTTGTAGTATTCCCTGATGGTAGTTTGTATTTCTGTGGGATCGGTGGTGATATCCCCTTTATCATTTTTTATTGCGTCTATTTGATTCTTCTCTCTTTTTTTCTTTACTAGTCTTGCTAGCAGTCTATCAATTTTGTTGATCCTTTCAAAAAACCAGCTCCTGGATTCATTAATTTTTTGAAGGGTTTTTTGTGTCTCTATTTCCTTCAGTTCTGCTCTGATTTTAGTTATTTCTTGCCTTCTGCTAGCTTTTGAATGTGTTTGCTCTTGCTTTTCTAGTTCTTTTAATTGTGATGTTAGGGTGTCAATTTTGGATCTTTCCTGCTTTCTCTTGTGGGCATTTAGTGCTATAAATTTCCCTCTACACACTGCTTTGAATGCGTCCCAGAGATTCTGGTATGTTGTGTCTTTGTTCTCGTTGGTTTCAAAGAACAACTTTATTTCTGCCTTCATTTCATTATGTACCCAGTAGTCATTCAGGAGCAGGTTGTTCAGTTTCCACGTAGTTGAGTGGTTTTGAGTGAGATTCTTAATCCTGAGTTCTAGTTTGATTGCACTGTGGTCTGAGAGATAGTTTGTTATAATTTCTATTCTTTTACATTTGCTGAGGAGAGCTTTACTTCCAAGTATGTGGTCAATTTTGGAATAGGTGTGGTGTGGTGCTGAAAAAAATGTATATTCTGTTGAGTTGGGGTGGAGAGTTCTGTAGATGTCTATTAGGTCCGCTTGGTGCAGAGCTGAGTTCAATTCCTGGGTATCCTTGTTGACTTTCTGTCTCATTGATCTGTCTAATGTTGACAGTGGGGTGTTAAAGTCTCCCATTATTAATGTGTGGGAGTCTAAGTCTCTTTGTAGGTCACTCAGGACTTGCTTTATGAACCTGGGTGCTCCTGTGTTGGGTGCATATATATTTAGGATAGTTAGCTCTTCTTGTTGAATTGATCCCTTTACCATTATGTAATGGCCTTGTCTCTTTTGATCTTTGTTGGTTTAAGTCTGTTTTATCAGAGACTAGGATTGCAACCCGTCCTTTTTTTGTTTTCCATTTGCTTGGTAGATCTTCCTCCATCCTTTTATTTTGAGCCTATGTGTGTCTCTGCACGTGAGATGGGTTTCCTGAATACAGCACACTGATGGGTCTTGACTCTTTATCCAATTTGCCAGTCTGTGTCTTTTAATTGGAGCATTTAGTCCATTTACATTTAAAGTTAATATTGTTATGTGTGAATTTGATCTTGTCATTATGATGTTAGCTGGTTATTTTGCTCGTTAGTTGATGCAGTTTCTTCCTAGTCTCGACGGTCTTTACATTTTGGCATGATTTTGCAGCAGCTGGTACCGGTTGTTCCTTTCCATGTTTAGCGCTTCCTTCAGGGGCTCTTGTAAGGCAGGCCTGGTGGTGACAAAATCTCTCAGCATTCGCTTGTCTGTAAAGTATTTTATTTCTCCTTCACTTATCAAGCTTAGTTTGGCTGGATATGAAATTCTGGGTTGAAAATTCTTTTCTTTAAGAATGTTGAATATTGGCCCCCACTCTCTTCTGGCTTGTAGGGTTTCTGCCAAGAGATCTGCTGTTAGTCTGATGGGCTTCCCTTTGAGGGTAACCCGACCTTTCTCTCTGGCTGCCCTTAACATTTTTTCCTTCATTTCAACTTTGGTGAATCTGACAATTATGTGTCTTGGAGTTGCTCTTCTCGAGGAGTATCTTTGTGGCGTTCTCTGTATTTCCTGAATCTAGCAAGGCCTGCCTTGCTAGATTGGGGAAGTTCTCCTGGATAATATCCTGCAGAGTGTTTTCCAACTTGGTTCCATTCTCCCCATCACTTTCAGGTACCCCAATCAGACGTAGATTTGGTCTTTTCACGTAGTCCCATACTTCTTGGAGGCTTTGCTCATTTCTTTTTATTCTTTTTTCTCTAAACTTCCCTTCTCGCTTCATTTCATTCATTTCATCTTCCATCGCTGATACCCTTTCTTCCAGTTGATCGCATCGGCTCCTGAGGCTTCTACATTCTTTGCGTAGTTCTTGAGCCTTGGTTTTCAGCTCCATCAGCTCCTTTAAGCACTTCTCTGTATTGGTTATTCTAGTTATACAGTCTTCTAAATTTTTTTCGAAGTTTTCAACTTCTTTGCCTTTGGTTTAAATGTCCTCCCGTAGCTCAGAGTAATTTGATCATCTGAAGCCTTCTTCTCTCAGCTCGTCAAAGTCATTCTCCATCCAGCTTTGTTCCGTTGCTGGTGAGGAACTGCGTTCCTTTGGAGGAGGAGAGGCACTCTGCTTTTTAGAGTTTCCAGTTTTTCTGTTCTGTTTTTTCCCCATCTTTGTGGTTTTATCTACTTTTGGTCTTTGATGATGGTGATGTACAGATGGGTTTTTGGTGTGGATGTCCTTTCTGTTTGTTAGTTTTCCTTCTAACAGAGAGGACCCTCAGCTGCAGGTCTGTTGGAGTACCCTGCCGTGTGAGGTGTCAGTGTGCCCCTGCTGGGGGGTGCCTCCCAGTTAGGCTGCTCGGGGGTCAGGGGTCAGGGACCCACTTGAGGAGGCAGTCTGCCCGTTCTCAGATCTCCAGCTGCGTGCTGGGAGAACCACTGCTCTCTTCAAAGCTGTCAGACAGGGACATTTAAGTCTGCAGAGGTTACTGCTGTCTTTTTGTTTGTCTGTGCCCTGCCCCCAGAGGTGGAGCCTACAGAGGCAGGCAGGCCTCCTTGAGCTGTGGTGGGCTCCACCCAGTTCGAGCTTCCCGGCTGCTTTGTTTACCTAATCAAGCCTGGGCAATGGCGGGCGCCCCTCCCCCAGCCTCGCTGCCGCCCGGCAGCTGGATCTCAGACTGCTGTGCTAGCAACCAGTGAGACTCCGTGGGCGTAGGACCCTCCGAGCCAGGTGTGGGATACAATCTCGCGGTGCGCCGCTTTCCAAGCCCGTCCGAAAAGCGCAGTATTCGGGTGGGAGTGACCCGATTTTCCAGGTGCCGTCTGTCACCCCTTTCTTTGACTCAGAAAGGGAACTCCCTGACCCCTTGTGCTTCCCAAGTGAGGCAATGCCTCGCCCTGCTTCGGCTCGCGCACGGTGCGCGCACCCACTGACCTGCGCCCACTGTCTGGCACTCCCTAGTGAGATGAACCCGGTACCTCAGATGGAAATGCAGAAATCACCCGTCTTCTGCGTCGCTCACGCTGGGAGCTGTAGACCGGAGCTGTTCCTATTCGGCCATCTTGGCTCCTCCCTATTTTTTTTCTTTTAAATAACAATTTCCTGGACACATATCAGCCAAACTAAAGAGTAACAACCAAAGTAAACTTGTAGGTGTGAGACTGAAGTTTTGTTGTTGCTTTTTTTTTTTTTTTGAGACGGAGTCTTGCTCAGTTGCCCAGGATGCAGTGGCGGGATCTCGGCTCACTGCAAGCTCCGCCTCCCGGGCTCACGCCATTCTCCTGCCTCAGCCTCCTGAGCAGCTGGGACTACAGTTGCCCGCCACTATGCCCGGCTAATTTTGTTTGTATTTTTAGTAGAAATGGGGTTTCACCGTGTTAGCCAGGATGGTCTCGGTCTCCTGACCTCGTGATCTGCCCGTCTCGGCCTCCCAAAGTGCTGGGATTACAGGCGTGAGCCACTGCTCCCAGCCTGTTGTTGCTTCTTTAATGGTAAGTCTTGGAAAAAACATTTCTAAAATCTCCTAACTATAATGCAAATGTCTAGATATAGAAAATAACCCTTTACAGACCCATCAAATAATCATGAGTGTTGTACGTAGTGAAGCAGAAAGGTGGTATTGAGCAATTTAAGTGCAACACCATTATCATGGGTAACATTGCTTCTTTTTAAAAGTTTTTATGTAAGTGTTTTTTTGTTGTTTGTTTGTTTTTGGCTGGAGAGTGGCCTATGGCTTATGGGTCTGATATAGTTTTCATGCTTAATTTTGTGTTGTCTTAAGCCTTATCTGATCACTGCAGCCAGAATTTAAGAGAAGTGAGATATAGATGACGCTGGGGAGTTACACAGCTTGGTATTCAGAAGAAATTGTGTCTTCACCTGCCTGAGGTTTTAAAAGTTGATCTGTGGGAAGGGGCTGGTTGCCGTCAAGAAAAGTCCATGGACATCTGTCAGGATCCGAGGGGTACTGAGTGACAGTGATATTGCTAACCGGGCTTTCCTAGTAACTGCAACATTGCCAAAAGAGTCACATGTTTTCAACTGTTTTTTTGGGTGTCCTGTTTATTTAAAGGCAGGACTTTCTGTCAGCTCTGTTGGTCTTCCTTTTTGTCCCCATTACCTGTATATGATTCCTAGTCTACTGTCCTGCAAGGGCAGGTGGAAGCATGTCATCACCTGCATTCACTGTTAAAGTGGCATTGTAAAAACCACCTCAAACCTAGCTCTTTCGGTTTCGCGGGTGGCCGTGCCCTTGAAAAATAGCTCAATTAGTAATAAGAGTAGTAAATATGTAGAAGGTAACTTTGGGCAAGAAAGTTAAAAGCTCTTTCCTACTTTCTTCTCCACTGCGATCTCTACGTTCACTAATTTTCTCCCCTATAGTCGATTTTTAGTTGTGGTAGTTATATCCCATAAAAGTCTCCTGGAACACTGCATCAGCAAACATTGAACCATTACTTCTAGGAGAAATACAAGGTTAGTTGCCTGTCAGACTCTGGTCACAATATTTTCATCCATCGATTAATATATAACCTTGTTTTATGTGTGTTTCTGTTTAAAGACAGTTTATATATATATATATATATATGTGTGTGTGTATGTGTATATATATGTATATGTATATATAAATGTATATGTATATATATAGAGTATTAACCTTGAACTCATGACCAACCACACTATAGTTTATCAGAACAAAGCTTAACTAATGTACATATTTTTTTCTGTAAGGTACATCCCAGTATTCTTGCAACTAGGGACACTAGAGGACACCTCAGCACTATGCTGAGGGACCATTTTAAGTAGGGGAATCACTAATAAAAAGCACAAAAATTAAAAATGTGGTATTGTCTAGATCGAGAAAAGGATACTTGTTTATAGTATGTGAGCTGGAACAAAAAGATAGTCTCATTTTTGACCTCAGCTGGGAGAATACAATTTAGGTGACTCACATAATTTGCTGCTTTGTCAATGTTTACAAGAGATCATGAAAATTGATTTTGGAGTTACAAATAAATTTTAGCAAGCAAGTAAATTTGCAAATATGGAATCTGTAAATAACTAGGACTGTTATCATAGAAAAATTACTGCTAATATGTCAATATTCTTGCCTCTAAACTGTTGACAATATATTTTTGGTTTTATATAATTGTAATGACAGGCTGGGTGTAGTGGCTCATGCTTGTAATCTCAGCGCTTTGGGAAGCCAAGGTGGGAGAACCGCTTGAGGCCTTGAATTTGAGACTAGCCTGGTAGCATGATAAGACCCTATCTCTAAAAAGTAACCTTGTCTTGGCAAATGCCTATCTGCAAAAAGTTTATCTTCTAACTTATCCTAGAATCTCTTTAATCACAAATGAAAGAAGTCATATAAGAAAAATAGAGTGCCAACAAAAAAGAGAGCACCCAAGAGAGATGCTTAAGTCCACAAAATTAGCTGTCCAAGAATGTTAGGAGCAGCTTTATTCATAAGAGCCCCAAACTGGAAACAACCCAAATAGCCATCAACTAAAATAAGGTTACTTTGATACTATTTTAAGATCAAAACTTAGTATTTTGAACAATTTTGACTTATTTGAAATTCAAACCTAACTAGGTATCGTGGTTCAATCTGGCAAAATGGGTTATGTAATACAAGTATGGTGAGTGATAAAAAAGTTCATCAATAGAGGAATGATTAAATAAATTATAGTCTATTTGTACCATGTAATATTATGTAGTAGCCAAAAAGAATGAAGTGGATTCCTATGTATTAATGTGGTAAGATCTTACAGGTATTGAAATCCATGAAGGGTACCTTGAGAGGCCACTCCCTATAACTAGTCACAGGCCTAGATAAAAAGAATGGGAAGAAAGGCTGAAAATTTGAAGGGAAAACAGTTGAGAATGTTTCAGAATTTAACACAGGGCACACATCCTTAATCAGATATTCAATTTGATTATTGAGAAGGATAGTTGTAAGAGTAAATGTATATACATCATGGCAAGAGTTTATAACATTAAGGATAAAGAGAAAAATGCCAAATTAATATCATTAAAATGGCCATACTGCTCAAAGCAATCTGTGGATTCAATACTATTTCTATCAATCAATGCTATTTTTCACAGAATTAGAAAAAGCTATTCTAAAATTTATATAGAACCAAAAAAAAAGCCCAAATAGACAAAGCAATCCAAAGCAAAAAAAAAAAAAAAAAAAAAAAAAAAAAATGGCAAACATCACATCATCCAACTTCAAACTATACTATAAGGTTACAGTAACCAAAACAGCATGATACTGGTACAGAAACAGAATATAGGCCAATGGAACAGAAGAGAGAACCCAGAAATGAAGCCACACACCTACAGCCATCTTATCTTCAACAAAGTCAACAAAAATAAGCAATGGGGAAATGACTCCCTATTCAATCAGTGGATAGCATATGTAGAAGAATGAAACTATATCCCTACCTTTTACCATATACAAAAATTAACTCAAGATGTATTAAAGATTTAAATGTAAGACCTCAATCTATAAGAATCCTAGAAGAAAACCTAGAAAATACCGTTCTGAAAATAGGCCTTGGGAAAGAATTTATGACTAAGTCCTCAAAAGCAATTACAACAAAACCAAAAATTGATAAGTGGGGCCTAGTTAAACTAAAGAGCTCCTGCACAACAAAAGAAACTATCAATGAGTAAACAGACAACCTACAGAATGGCAGAAAGTATTTACAAACTATGTGTCCAACAAAGGTCTAATATCCAGAATCTATAAAGAACTTAACAATCAAAAACCAAATAAGCCCATTAAAAAATGGGCAAACGACATGAACAGACACTTCTCAACAGAAAACATGCAAGTGGCTAACAAACATGAAAAAATGCTCATCATCAGTAATCCTCAGATAAATGGAAATGAAAACTACAATGAGATATACCATGTCACACCAATTAGGATGGTATTATTAAAAAGGCAAAAAATAACAGATGCTTGTGAGGCTGTGGAGAAAAGGGAGCATTTATGTACTGTTGGTGGGAATGTAAATTAGCTCAGCCATTGTGGAAAGCAGTATGGTGATTTCTCTAAGATCTTAAAACAGGGCTACCATTCAACCCAACAATCCCATTATTGGGTATATACCTGAAGGAAAATACATTGTCATACCCAAAAGTCATGTGCATTTATAGGTTTATCACAGTGCTATTCACACTAGCAAAGACATGGAATCAACTTAGGTGCCCATCTACAGTGGATTGGATAAAGAAAATGTTCTACATATACACCGTAGAATACTATGCTGCCATAAAAAAGAATGAAATCATGTCCTTTGCAGCAACATGGATGCAGCTGGAGGTCATTATCATAAGTGAATTAACACAGGAAAAGAAAATCAAATACTGCATGTTCTCACTTATAAGTACTCACACATGGACATAAAGATGGGAACAGACATTGAGGACTACTGGGGTGTGGAGGGAGGGAAGGTGGCATGGATTGAAAAACTGCCTATTGGATACTATGCTCATTACCTGGGTGATGAGATCTGTATCCGAAACCTCAGCATTACACAATATACCCAGGTAACAAACATGCACATGTACCCCTTGAATGTAAAATAAAAGTTGAAATTATATTAAAAAAGAAATGGTAATAAGTAGAGTTATTAATAACAAGGAATGACAGAAAATTATCTTAGAATTTCAGAGAAAAAACAAATGTCGATACAGATTTTTATGTAATCTAATAATTTAATAATGATGGAAGAACATTTAAAGACATATAAAGGATATTTATATATCCTCATATGTTTTATATGTATAAATGCCCTGAAATCTATGTTTTGTTATTAATATTATAATTTAGTCTTTGTTTTTGTTAATATTGACATATTTTCTTTTAATCTCTATTTTTATTTATTTAATTTTTGGATTATCCCTTTTAAATTCTTTTTTAAATTTTTTATTTTTCCATAAGTTATTGGGGTACAAGTGGTATTTGGCTACATGACTAAGTTCTTTAGTGGTGATTTGTGAGATTTGGGTGCACCCATCACCCGGGCAGTATAAACTGTACCATATTTGTAGTCTTTTATCCCTCACCCCCCCCCACTCTTCCCCAAAAGTCCCCAAAGTCCATTGTATCATTCTTATGCCTTCATGTCCTCATAGCCTAACTCCTACATATCAGTGAGAACATATGATGTTTGGTTTTCCATTCCTGAGTTACTTCACTTCGAATAATAGTCTCCAGTCTCATTCAGGTCACTGCAAATGCTGTTAATTCATTCCTTTTTATGGCTGCATAATATTCCATCATATATATATGATGTGTATATATATATGTTGTATATATATATGGTGTATATATATCATATATATGGTGTATATATATGGTATATATATCATATATATGGTGTATATATATGGTATATATATCATATATATGGTGTATATATATGGTATATATATCATATATATGGTGTATATATATGGTATATATATCATATATGGTGTATATATATGGTATATATATCATATATATGGTGTATATATATGGTATATATATCATATATATGGTGTATATATATGGTATATATATCATATATATGGTGTATATATATGGTATATATATCATATATATGGTGTATATACATACTACATATATATGATGGAATATTATGCAGCCATAAAAATGGCTTTTATTACATTAAGGTATGTCCCTTGTATGCCAATTTTGCTGAGAGTGTTAATATATGGTGTGTGTGTGTATATATATATATATATATATATGGTGTATATATATGGTGTATATATGGCGTATATATATGGTTGTATATATATGGTATATATATGGTGTATATATATGGTATATATATGGTGTATATATATATGGTGTGTACGTGTGTGTGTGTATGTATGTGTGTGTGTGTATATATATATATATATATATATATATATATATATATATATATATATCTCACAGTTTCTTTATCCACTTGTTGATTGATGGGCATTAGGATTGGTTCCACAATTTTGCAATTGTGAATGGTGCTGCTATAAATGTGTGTGTAGGTATTTTTTTCGAATAATGACTTATTTTCCTCTGGGTAGATACCCAGTAGTGGGATTGCTGGATCAAATGGTAGTTCTACTTTTAGTTCTTTAAGGAATCTCAAAATGGTTTTCCATAGTGGCTGTATTAGTTTACATTCCCACCAGCTGTGTAGAAGTGTTCCCTGTTCACCACATCCACACCAACATCTACTGTTTTTTGATTTTTTGATTATGGCCATTCTTGCAGGAGTAAGGTGGTATCACATTGTGGTTTTGATTTGCATTTCCCTGATCATTAGTGATGTTGAGAATTTTTTCATATATTTGTTGGCCATATGTATATCTTCTTTTGAGAATTGTCTATTCATGTCCTTAGCCCATTTTTTGATAGGATTGTTTTTTTCTTACGGATTTGTTTGAGTTCATTGTAGATTCTGGATATTAGCCCTTTGTCAGATGTATAGATTGTGAAGATTTTCTCCCACTCTGTGGGTTGTCTGTTTACTCTGCTGACTGTTCCTTTTCCATGCAAAAGCTCTTTAGTTTAATTAGGTCTCAGTTATTTATCTTTGTTTTTATTGGGTTTGCTTTTGGGTTCTTGGTCATGAAATCCTTGCCTCAGCCAATGTCTAGAAGGGTTTTTCCAATGTTATCTTCTAGAATTTTTATAGTTTTAGGTCTGAGGTTTAAGTCCTTAATCCATCTTGAGTTGATTTTTGTATAAGGTGAGAGATGAGGATCCAGTTTCATTCTCCTACATATGGCTTACCAATTGTCCCAGCACCATTTGTTGAAAAGGGTGTCCTTTCCCCACTATATGCTTTTGTTTGCTTTGTCAAAGTATTTGGGTGTGGCTGTAAGTATCTGCATTTATTTCTGGGTTCTCTATTCTGTTCCATTGGTCTATGTGCCTATTTTTATACCAGTACCATGTTGTTTTGGTGACTATGCCTTATAGTATAGTTTGAAATCAGGTAGTGTGATGCCTCCAGATTTGTTCTTTTTTGCTCAGTCTTGCTTTGGCTATGTGGGCTCTTTTTTGGTTCCATGTAAATTTTAGAATGCTTTTTCTAATTCTGTGAAGAATGATGGTGGTATTCTGATGGGGATTGCAATGAATTTGTAGATTGCTTTTGGCAGTATGGTCATTTTCACAATATTGATTCTACCCATCCATGAGCATGGGATATATTTCCATTTGTTTGTATCATCTAAGATTTCTTTCAGCAGTGTTTTGTCATTTTCCTTGCAGAGGTCTTTCAACTCCTTTGCTAGGTATATTCCTAAGTATTTTATTTTATTTTTTCCAGCTATTGTAAAAGGGGTTGAGTTCTTCATGTGATTCTCTGCTTGGTTACTGTTGGTTTATAGAATGGCTACTGATTTGCGTACATTAATCTTGTATCTGGAAACCTTCTTGAATTCTTTTATTAGTTCTAGGAGCTTTCTGGAGGAGTCCTTAGGGTTTTCAAGATAAATAATCATATCGTCAGCAAACAATGACTGTGTGACTTTCTCTTTATCAATTTGGATGCCTTTTATTTCTTTTTCTTGTCTGATTGCTCCATCTAGGACTTCCAGTATTACGTTGAAGAGGAGTGGTGAGAGTGGGAATCCTTGTCTTATTCCAGTTCTCAGAGGGAATGCTTTCAACTTTTCCCCATTGAGTATTATGTTGGCTGTGGGTTTGTCATAGATGACTTTTATTACATTAAGGTGTGTCCTTTGTACGCCGATTTTGCTGAGAGTGTTAATCATAGAGGGATGCTGGATTTTGTTGTATGCTTTTTTCTGCATCTATTGAGATGAGCATGTGATTTTTGTTTTTAATTCTGTTTATGTGGCATATCACATTTATTGACTTGCGTATGTTAAACCGTCCTTGCATCCCTGATATGAAACCCACTTGATTATGGATTATCTTTTTGATGTGGTGTTGGATTCAGTTAGCTAGTACTTTGTTAAGGATTTTAGCATCTATATTCATCAAGGATATTGGTCTGTAGTTTTGTTTGTTGGTTATGTCCTTTCCTGGTTTTGGTGTAGGGTGATGCTGGCTTCATAGAATGAATTAGGGAGGGTTCCTTCTTTCTCTATCTTGTGGAATAACGTCAAAAGGATTGGTACCAATTCTTCTTTGAATGTCTGGTAGAATTCTGCTGTGAATCTGTCTGGTCCTGGACTTTTTTTTATTGATAATTTTTAAACTACCATTTCAATCTGGCTGCTTGTTATTGGTTTTTTCAGAGTATCTAATTCTTCCTGATTTAAACTAGGAGGGTTGTATTTTTCCAGTAATTTATCTGTCTCTTCTAGGTTTTCTAGTTTATGTGTGTAAAGGTGTCCACAAGTAGCTTTGAATGATCTTTTGTCTTTCAGTGGAGTCAGCTGTAATATCTCCTATTTTGTTTCTTAATGAGGTTATTTGGATTTTCTCTCTTTTCTTGGTTAATCTTGCTAGTGGTGTATCAATTTTTTTTTATGTTTTCAAAGAACCAACTTTTTGTTTCATTCATATTTTGTATGTTTTTTGTTTCAATTTCATTTAGTTCTGCTCTGATCTTTGTTATTTTCTTTCTTCTGCTGGGTTTGGGTTTGGTTTGTTCTTGTTTCTCTAGTTCCTTGAGGTGTGACCTTAGATTTTCTGTTTGTGCTCTTTCAGACTTTTAGATGTAGGTGTTTAGGGCTATGAACTTTCCTCTTAGAACCACCTTTGCTATATCCCAGAGGTTTTGATAGGTTTTGTCATTATTGTCATTCAGTTCAAAGAATTTTTAAATTTCCATCTTGATTTTGCTTTTGACCCAATGCTCATTCAGGAGCAGGTTATTTAATTTCCATGTATTTATGTGGTTTTGAAGGTTCCTTTTGGAGTTGATTTCCAGTTTTATTCCACTGTGGTCTGAGAGAGTGCTTGATATAATTTCAATTTTCTTAAATTTATTGAGGCTCGTTTTATGTCCTATCATATGGTCTCTCTTGGAGAAAATTCCATGCACTGTTGAATAGAATGTGTATTCTGTGGTTGTTGGATGAAGTGTTCTGTATATATCTGTTAAGTTAATTCGTTCCAAGGTATAGTTTAAATCCATTGTTTCTTTGTTAACTTTCTGTCTTAATGACCTGTCTAGTGCTGGAAGTGGAGTATTGACGTCCTTCACTATTATTGTGTTGCTGTCTATCTCATTTCTTAGGTCTATTAGTAATTGTTTTACAAATTTGGGAGCTCTAGTGTTATGTGCATGTATGTTTAGGATTGTGATATTTTCCTGTTGGACAAGGCCTTTTGCTATTATATAATGTCCCTCTTTGTCTCTCTTAACTGCTCTTGCTTTAAAGTTTGTTTTGTCTGATATAAGAATAGCTACCCCTGCTCACTTTTGGTGTCATTTGCATGAAATGCCTTTTTCCACCCCTTTACTTTAAGTTTATGTGAGTCCTTATGTTTTAGGTGAGTCTCCTGAAGGTAGTAGATAGTTGGTTGGTGAGCTCTTATCCATTCTGCGATTCTGTAGCTTTTAAGTGGAGCATTTAGGCCATTTACATTCAATGTTAGTATTGAAATGTGAGGTACCATTGCTTTCATCATGCTCTTTGTTGCTTGTGTACTTTTTTTGTTGTTTTTGCTTTTTAACTTGTATTTTTGTTTTATAGGTCCTGTGTGATTTATGATTTAAAGAGGTGCTGTTTTGATGTGTTTCCAGGATTTGTTTCAAGATTTAGAGCTCCTTTTAGTGGTTCTTGTAGTGGTGGCTTGATAATGGTGAATTCTCTCAGCATTTGTTTGTCTGAAAACTACTGTATCTTTCCTTCATATATGATGCTTAGTTTCGCTGGATACAAAATTCTTGGCCGATAATTGTTTTGTTTGAGGAGGGCTGAAGATATGTCCCCAGTCCCTTCTAGCTTATAGAGTTTCTGCTGAGAAATCTGCTGTTAATCTGATAAGTTTTCCTTTATAGGTTACCTGGAGCTTCTGTCTCACAGCTCTTAAGATTCCTTCCTTCCAAATGGACTTAACTGGTATAAACAGAACACTTCATCCAACAACCACAGACTACACATTCTATTCAACAGTGCCTGGAACTTTCTCCAAGATAGACCATACAATAGGCCATAAAACAAACCTTAATAAATTTAAGGAAGTAATGCTCTTAACTTTGGATAACCTGATGACAGTGTGCCTAGGTGAAGATCTTTTTTGCGATGAATTTCTGAGGTAGTCTTTGTGCTTCTTGTATGTTGGTGTCTAGGTCTCTCACAAGGCTGGGGAAGTTTTCCTTGATTATTCCCCCAAATATGTTTTCCAGGCTTTTAGAATCCTTTTCTTCCTCAGGAACACCGATTATTCTTAGGTTTAGTCATTTAACATAGTCCCAGAGTTCTTGGAGGCTTTGTTCATATTTTCTTATTCTTTTTGTCTTGGTTGGATTGGGTTAATTTAAAGACCTTGTCTTCAAGCTCTGAATTTCTTTCTTCTACTTGTTCAATTCTATTGCTGAGACTTTCCAGAGCATTTTGCATTTCTAAAAGTGCGTCCAAATTTTCCTGAATTTTTAATTGTTTTTTTTTTCTTTATGCTATCTATTTCCTTGAATATTTCTCCCTTCACTTCTTGTATCATTTTTTGGATTTCCTTGCATTGGGCTTCACCCTTCTCTGATCCCTCCCTGATAAGCTCAATAACTAACCTCCTGAATTCTTTTTGAGGCAAATCAGAGATTTCTTCTTGGTTTGGATCCATTGCTGGTGACCTAGAGTGATTTTTTTGGGGGGTGTTGAAGAACCCTGTTTTGTCATATTACCAGAGTTGGTTTTCTGGTTCCTTCTCATTTGGGTAGGCTCTGTCCTAGGGAAGTTCTAGGGCTGAAGGCTGTTGTTCAGATTCTTTTGTCCCAAGGGGTGTTCCCTTGATATAGTACTCTCCTCCTTTTCCTATGGATGTGGCTTCCTGTGAGCTGAACTGCAGTGATTGTTGTCTCTCTTCTGGTTGTAGCCACCCAGGAAGTCTACTCAGCTCTGGACTGGTACCAGGGGCTGTCTGCACAGTGTCCTGTGATGTGAACCATCTATGAGTCTCTCAGCCATGGATACCAGCACTTTTTCTGGTGGAAGTGGTGGAGGGTGCAATGGACTCCATGAGGGTCCTTAGCTTTGGTGGTTTAATGCTGTATTTTTATGCTGGTTGGCCCCCTGCCAGGAGGTTGTGCTTTCCAGAAAGCATCAGCTATAATAGTAGTATGGAGAGGAACCAGCGGTGGGTGGGGTCCTAGAACTCCCAAGATTATGTGCCCTTTCTCTTCCACTACCAGGATGGATAGGGAAGGACCCTCAGGTGGGGGTGGGGCTAGGCATATCTGAGCTCAGACTCTCCTTGGGCGAGTCTTGCTGTGGCTGCTGTGGGGGATGGGGGTGAGTTTCCCTGGCCACTGGAATTGTGTACCTAGGAGGATTATGGCTGCCTCTGCTGAGTCATGCAGGTTGTCAGGGAACTGGGGGAAAGTGGGCAGTCACATGCCTCACCCAGCTCCCATGCAAACCGAAGGGCCAGTCTCACTCCCACCGTGCCCCCACCCCCCACAGCAAACAGCCCCGAGTCTGTTTCTAGGCGGAGGGCAAGATGGGCTTAAAAACTTTCCTGAGAATATCTGCCTCCTAGCTGTGAAAGAAAAAGGCTTTAGTTCTTCCCCAACCTGTGAAGTCTCCACACCAGATTAATGCTCTTCCCCAAGTTCTAGCCAGGAGGCTTCTTGCCCTGTTCAAATTGTTTCAAAGTTCAGCTAGGGAATTCCTTCTCCCTGTGGAGTTTTACCCCCTGTTCCTCTAGCCACCCTCCCAATGGATCCCTGTTGTGCCAGGCAGGAATGGGCTGCTTGGGGACCCAGTGAGCTCCCAGGGCCTTTCTGCTGCTTCCTCTACCCCTGTCTTTTGCTCGGCTCTCTAACTTGACTCAGCTCCAGGTAAAGTCGGAAATTTCTCCCGCAAACAGACCTTCAGCTTTTCCAGTGGGGGTGTCTGTTTGTGAGAGGAGGGCCTCCGTTTCCCACTTGCACAGTTGGGGCACTCACAGTATTTGGGGTGTCTACCCGGTCCTGCAGGAGCAGTCTGCTTCCTTCAGAGGGTCTGTGGGTCCTCTCAGGATTTCTGGTTTGTTCTTGCAGTCAATCTGGAGCTAAAATTTACAATATAAGCCTCCGTATGCTGCTCTGTCCCGGCTGCAAATCTAGTCCTCCCTCCCATCCGCCATGATTCCCATACCTAATCTCTATTTTTAATCTTTGTTATTCATAGAAATGTCTCTTAATCAATATGTAGCTACATTTTAAGAATTAAGCTGAAAGTCTATGTTTTGTAATAGGATATAGCAAACCCATTACATTCACAAAATATTTAGATTCATTTATGTTACTTATTTTTTGTTTTATGTTTTCATTTGTGTTCTTTTCTTTTATTTTCAGGCAGTTTTAGACTGACCAAAGTCTCTTTGATCTATTTTTCTTCTTCAGTGGTTTGGAAGTTAAATATCCTATTTTTATTCTTTGAATGGTTGCTCTTACACTTTTAATGAACATCTTTAAACTTTGATTTGCGTTTTCATCAGTGAATCAGTCTGTATTTATATTCTCCCACAAACAACACTAGAATATTCACTTTTACTCCTCTTCAGTTTCTCCTCTCCCTACCACGTGATCTTCCAGAGATGTCATCAAAAATTTAGTTCTTTTTACTATTTTTTTTCAACTTTTTTTCTTCCATCATCCTACCTCATGTTTCTCAGAGATATCATCTAAAAGGTTAGATTCTTGTTAAATGTTTTTTGTAATCATCACTTAAATTATTGATTATTATAACTGATTCCTTATGTTTGGATTAAATTTTCTTCTTGCTAGAGCACATCCTTTTGTAATTCATTCAGAATTACATTTTCTGAGTCTGAAAATGCTCTTTTTTCATTCTTATACTTGGATAATTTAGTTTTAGTATTTTAAGCTCAAAATTATTTTCCCTCAGATCTTGGGAAACATTGTTCTATTGTCTTTTTTCATCTGATATTACTAGAAAACAAGTCCAGCATAAGGCTCATTCTTTTATCAAAGTGCATTATCTATTTCACACCTTCTTCTTACCAGTCTTCTGGTAAGACTTTTCTCTTTATTCTCAGCTTTCTGAATTTTGCCATGTTGGGCTTAGTTGTAGTCTATCTTATTCATCTTGCGTAGGACTCAAAGGCTTCTTTTAAGCTGAAGTGTAATGATTCCTTTTTCCTCTCTTTTTGGAACTGTAGTAGACATTCATTGGTAAACTGGAAGATATCTTTTATGTCTCTTTAACTTATCTTTCATAAGTTTTTAATTTTTTTCCTTTTATACATACTTTTGGAGAATTTTTAACTGCTTTTTCTGTTTTTAAAGTTACTTTCGACTGTATCCCCATACAGTAATCCATAGTGATAGAAATCAGAGTAGTGGTTTCCCGGTTTTGCAGGGAGAGAGCAGGGCAGACATTACCTTGGAAGGAGCACCAGGGAACTTTCTAGTGTGTGCATTGTAATAATGTTAAAATAACACTATTGTTACATAATTAAAACAACTGTATCCATTCAGCCATTTTCTCCATCTATGGATCTTTTTAAACTCTAGGATTAAAATTTTAATTTCCCCCGTGGTTTCTATATTCTCACATCTTATAAGGACATTGGTTACATATATTCTATAGGCTTATTTGTTTGCTTTCTCGATTTGTCCAGCTTTGGCAGATGGAAGTTATTCTTTGGTTTAGTTTGATGCCTCTTTTTATGTCAGCATTCTTCACATGTTTGGTAAACATTTTCTGTATTTGTCTATGTTATCTGAGAGCCAAGTTTATGAAAGTCTGATCAGTTCCCTTCAGCCTGTCTTCAGAAATTGCAGGAGGCTGGTAGAAGAAGGCAATTGTGCTATGAAATGAACCAGTGACTAGTTTGTTTCTCCTAAGTGGTGTTTGCCTCCTGAGATCCTTCTTTAACCCTAGTCTAGAAGCTCTAATGTTCCCTGCTCCCGACTGGCATTGTATACTTTTCTTGCACTCTGCTTGGTTTAGCGAGAATAAAGAAGAGAGTGTGCATAAGTCAATGAGTCTGGCGGTTTCTACTTAGGTCCCCCCAACCTGCAGATTTTGACTTGGAGTACCCTGGATCCTCTTTCACTCTTTATAGTAGATATCCCACACACACATTTTTGCATTTTAATAATACAATCTCATCTATTTTCATCTTTTTTATAATTCTTCATAGACTTAGGTACTTCTTCATTGTTACTCAAAAACAGCTAAGATTTTTTTTCTCTTTTTTTTTGAGACGGAATTTTGCTCTTGTTGCCCAGGCTGGAGTGCAATGGCACCATCTTGGCTCACCACAACCTCTGCCTCATGGGTTCAAGTGATTCTTCTGCCTCAGCCTCCCAAGTAGCTGAGATTACAGGCATGTGCCACCACACCTGGCTAATTGTGTATTTTTAGTAGAGATGGGGTTTCTCCATGTTGGTCAGGCTGGTCTCGAACTCCCGACCTTAGGTGATCTGCCTGCCTTGGCCACCCAAAGTGCGGGATTACAGGCATGAGCCACTGCTCCTGGCCATTTTTTTTTTTCATATGTTTTTGGACATCTAGGACTTTGGAATAAGACAGGAAGTAGGGCAGGCTACATAATTTGCAGAATCTAGTGCAAAGTTAAAAAGCGGGACATCTTGTCCAAAAAGTAGGAAAAGAAGTGTCGTTAAACGTGCTGTAATATAAAGTTTTTCTTTATAATATTTTACTAACAAAAATCACTAGCGTTTTCCTAAGTCACTAAATTTTCCCGTATAACATCATTCTTCCCCTCAACTGGAAACTTAAAAAAAAATTTTACATTGCCCTCAGAGGCAAAAATAGCTAACACTTTTTAATCTGTGTTGAAAACATTATTTCTTCTCCTCTTTTTGAAATTTTTAATTTTTTAATCTTTTAAATTACGGTGAAGTACGTATAGTATAAAATTTACCATCTTAACCATTTTAAAGTGTTCAGCTCCATGGCGTAAATTACACTTACATTGTTGTACAACCATTGCCACTGTCCAGCTCCAGAACTCTTTTCGTCTTGCAAAACTGAAAAATAATAAAGCTTTTTTCTTTAAAAATGTTTATCACTTATAAAACATAATAGGAGTAATAGTGATGGATGAGGAGCAACGTAAACTGAACAATTGCAAAAAATAACATTTTTGGTGTTGTAGTGAGTTGACTACTGTCTGCCAAAATTCATATCCACTCAAAACCTCAGAATACAAACTTATTTAGATACAGGGTCTTTTTTGTTTGTTTGTTTGTTTTAATTTTATTATTATTATACTTTAAGTTTTAGGGTACATGTGCACAACGTGCAGGTTTGTTACATATGTATACAGGTGCCATGTTGGTCTGCTGCATCCATTAACTCGTCATTTAGCATTAGGTATGTCTCCTAATGCTATCCCTCCCCCCTCCCCCCACCCCACAACAGTCCCCAGAGTGTGATGTTCCCCTTCCTGTGTCCATGTGTTCTCATTGTTCAATTCCCACCTATGAGTGAGAACATGCGGTGTTTGGTTTTTTGTCCTTGTGATAGTTTGCTGAGAATGATGGTTTCCAGTTTCATCCATGTCCCTACAAAGGACATGAGCTCATCATTTTTTATGGCAGCATAGCATTGATACAGGGTCTTTGTTGATGTAACTGGATTAATGTGAAGTCACTCTGGATTAAAGTAGGTACTAAATCCAATAGCTAGTGTCCCGAGAAGCAGAGGAGAGGACACAGAGACATCCAGAGGAGAAGGCCATGTGAAGACAGAGGCAGAGATTGCAGTTATGCTGTCACTAGCCAGGGAACACCTGAAGCCACCTGAAGCTGGAAGAGGCAAGGAAGGGTGGAACCTGTAGAGAGAGCACCACCCTATTGACACCTTGATTTTGGACTTCTGGCCTCCAGAACTGTGACAGAATGAATTTATGTTGTTTTAGTTTGCCCAGTTTGTGGTAATTTGTTGCAGCAGCCCTATGAAACTAATACAGGTATCACACTTCTATGTAGCAAATAAATAGTAATTCTTTAAGAAGACATCTTCATTGAACGTAAGACTTTTACTTTTCTGCAAATTCATTTATTAAGTCATCAAAATTTATACTTCTAGAAATTTTGTTTTCAATTGATATAATTAAAAAATAACACGAGTTGGTCCTGACAAATGCAAGATCACAAATAATTTTAGATAATTTTTTATTCTGAGGAGGAGATTTTTTAGATACAACTGTCATTGGACCTGTTAAAAGTATTTTAGTGCTATGCAACATCGGGATTAACTTCTGATGAATTATTTTGAAATACAAATTTTAATGTATCTATAGCTGATGACTTTTAAGAAATAGTTTTTCTAAATAGATTTAACTCTTCATACAAATCACTTTTGTGTAACTCCAAATTTAATTTTGTTAATTTACACAATGATAGTTTGACATTTCCTCTGCTATTTTTGGAATTGGTGGAGGTCTGTACAAGGAATTAAAAGTGGTGTAATGATTGTATATAATTCACAATGCCATTTTGTGCACTCTATCATTACATCTTCAATTTTAATGAAAAATTAATGAGATAATTGTCTTCTTTGTTAAAAATTTATCTAAAGCTTCATATAAAAATAGTGTTATTTTCCATTGAATGTGACAATCTTTACATTTAATTTCTGTTTCTAAGCCTGTGGATATTTGTTTTGCAACATTGCCGCAATTTTCAAAATTAGTAATACCTCTTTGAACATATAATAACTCCCTGAAATGTTTTATTGTGTAATGTCCATGTGTACTTTTTCTTGGCAATTGTTTACTAACAGGGTTTACTGTCTGATAAGTGGCAGTTCCCACCCGGACCCTCAGGCTGGAGGGTTAGTATTTGTGCTGAGGCACAGGGTTGGGCTCCAAGGATGGAATGGCAAGCTGGCATCCCACCGATGGTCCCAACACTGGAACATAGAGTCTCACCTGTCTTGGGACAGGGACACTAATGGGGCTGCTTCTGCTGCACCTGCCACCATCACCACCATGCCACCACCAATCTGGGCCCAGGTCTGAGTATGGCTGCCCCCTCAGGCTCTGCATCACACCAGCCTGCCCCCAGGATGCTAGTGAGTCCCATGAGGCTAGGCCAGCTGTTCCAGTTGCTACTGACTGTTGTATCTCTGGGTGTGAGTCTATGTGGTGTGTGTGTATGTGTGTGTGTGTGCACTGCTGCCTGGAGTGTGTGTGCTTCCTCTGTTCACATGGGTGCTCCATGGTCCTATCAGTCTTCATTTGCAAAACACAGGTTCAAAGAAAAAATTATTATGAATATCATGACAGTGATAGTGAAACATTAAAGCAATTGTGAGGTTCTTCCTGCGTGTGTGTCCCAGTGGGGCTACACATGCCACATGTCCACAGAGCCAGCCCTGATAGGGAGGCAGCAGGAATACTGCATTTACCATCTTGATCTGATCTCTTGATGAAAGCCAATATTGCTTTACTAAACCACTTTTATGTGGAATGTGGTGCATTTGCATCTGAGTTGGTTATCCTAGTTTGCATTTTCCAGCTGGACAAAGGCCAGTTTCAATGGCTTTAGAGAGAGGGAATAATCTAGACTTGTTCCTATGGCTAGGGACCAAACAGGTTTTTTTAATTTTTAAAGTTATTTTAAAATTTAATTTGATTTTTTTTAGAGTTTCACTCTGTTGCCCAGGCTGGAGTGTAGTGGCGTGATCATGGCTCACTGCAGCCTTGAATTCCTGGACTTAGTGATCCTCCTGCTTCAGCCTCCCAAGTAGCTATGACTACAGATGTACATTGCCATGCCTGGCTAATTTCTAAAAGTTTTTTATAGAGTTGGGGTCTTGCTATGTTGCCCAACTAGTCTTGAACTACTGGCCTCAAGCTATCCTCCTGCCTTGGCTTCCCAAAGTGCTGGGATTACAGGCATGAGCCATCATGCTTGGCCCCAAACAGATTTTTAAATCTCTTCTTGAGAATCAAGAGTCACCTTTGTAATGTGGAAGGTTATGTTTATATTATTCAGAAAACGCTAATGACTGTGCATAAATAAAGCTTATCCTCTATTTTTAATCATCTGGTCCTTAAACATGTAAATCATCTTCAGCTTCCCAGTTATAGCTCATGGATCAGTTTCTGGTATAATCTATATCATTCCTTGGTGACCTTTCTCCCCTCATTTTCTGCATGTATATATCTTGTGGTTAGGCATCAGAAGGCTGTATCTTATTTAAGTATCTGAATGTATCATCAGGCTTATAAAAATGGTTGATATTGTAGAGTTCAGAGATTCAGAGCTAGATGCTTATCTGAAAGCATTTCCAAACCTATCTGGTACTGGCCTGAACCAGATTCTGTTCTGTTTGGAATAGAAATTTTACAGTATTTCATTTTTTTCCAGATAGGAAACAATAATGAGTGTAGCTTATTGAAGTATTTTCTTAACATTATAGCTTTTTTACTGATGAAAGAATATGAGATTATATAATCTTTGTTATTTATCTTCAAAACTCTTGATATTACATGCCATAGTATACTACAGCATGGACTATTTTTATAATATGTACTAGTTATAAAATGTATACCACAAAAATCTATATTATACTAGTTATAAAATGAATACCACATGCATACTTGTGCTAGTTATAAAATATATACCATATGTACTTGTTATAAATGTATATCACATAAAACCTATATTATACTAGTTCTAAAATGTATGTTACATAAAGCCTGTATTATAACTGGAGGACTAAATATCAGCTAGTTAACAAATTACCCAGATGTTCTTTATGTAGTCTTATAGATCTTTATTTGATTGTCTAATTATGCCTTTTATGTGACTGGAGATGGTTCTACATAAAAATATTTGGGAAGCTTGACTTTCTGCCAGACCAAAGAGATTCAAACTTACTTGAGAAATATAAGCCACTTTCATTTACTAAGTGTCTGTGATTAAGGCAGAATCCCCTGCTTAAAATCATAGCTTTGGGAAGGGAATATAAACAGAAACATAGCTCATGCCCATGCCCACTGTTTCTCGCTGCCCTGGACTTTTGCCAAGCTTCAGTTTGGCATTATCAAAAATACAGAGCATATTGTTATTATTAGAATATGAATTCACAACTGGGTTTATATTGAGTAAAGATTTGTTATATTTTTTTAAATTTCTGAGTTATTTCTTATTGGTGAGTGCTTGGAAAAATGGAGTCAGAGCTTGGTATGAGGGGAGGAAGGAGGCAAAACCTATTTTGTTGAAAACCCTAATGGGGAAGATTCACTTTTCTACTGGATTCATATTTTTGTACTTCTCCTTGTCGAAATGATTGTTTTGGACAAAAAAGCCACCTTCTTTATGTATATTTACTCATGTTGCTAACAATTAAAAATTGTTTTCTTTTACACGTTGCTTTTACATTAAAAATGATTAAACATATATTGGTCTTTGAGGCATTAGCCTTTCATCTTGGGGTACCTAATTTAAAACCTGGTCCAGTTTAAGCAGAAACAAGTTGGATCTTGTCACCTTCACTCATCCAAGCTTTCAGAATGAACAATAATTACAGTAAACTCAAATCATTCCAAAATGTTTTCTCATTATATTCTAACACATGAAGAATAGTAACAAAATACTTTATTGTGTAACTAAGAAGGATTAGTATTTTTTCTTGAAAATCATTACATTGTAGCCTTCATCAGAAGAAAAATAATGAACTGTTACAGTTTCTGTTATAAGCTATATTGGAAAATGAAATCAGAGTGTCAAGTATGATTTCACAACATTGTGAATGAGAGACCATGGGTCTGGTGATGTAAGAGGCCACTTTCTACTCCTTGGGAGAACAGTTTATACCCCTGTGGTCCTCAATCCACAGGAAGTCTTTTCTTTATTGCTTAACTCCACTCTAGTAAGTCACTGACCTCCATGTCCCCTTGAGTTCCATATTGAATACACCAGGTTAAGTTCAAATCCAATCGGAACATTTACATTTTAATAGGATTGATAGACTTAAACTGAAGAATAAAACTTGAGTGTGGGAAGTTTTGATAGACAGAAGGAGCAAGATCCCCTGTCATTGGGAGAGCCTTTGAATCTTACTGGATTCCCACTGGAGCTTCATATTTTTTGGGTGTGGACAAGAGGGTCCTGAGGATAGCAAAGTGTCCTTCTCCCATTCTATCTTTTTCTTCAAAGGGCACATGGCATTCTGGGTGGCCTGAGACAACTTTGTCACTTCTTGGCTGTAGTAACTTGGAGAATAATTGCTATCTTTGTCTTATGCTCAGGTCTCTGTACACTCCTGCAGTATCCTTGACTCACTCCTAACAAGGTCCCCAGCATTGTCTCAATATGTACAGTGGTCCAGTTTGCTGTACCCTCCCATTGCTTTCATAAAACAATTGCAACTCTCCTTCAGGGTCTCTGTAGCCAACAGGCATCAAACTTCTTGGAAAAACTTCTTGGCTTCTTGGATGAAGCCCTGAATAGCTTTGTTGTATGAGTCAGGTACACACTTTATTTGAGAGTGTGGGAGAACTAGCTAATACTTTCACTACTACTATGTATTGGTAGTTTAAACAATTCAAAGTATAAAATTTATCCATGAACTTGGTTTTATTCTTCTGCCATGTAACTAGGAGTGAGAATACTTCATGTAGTAAAATGCTGCAATTTTAATGTTGGAGGTTCTTAAAATGCTCTAATTCAGGTCTTGCTTATGTTGTCTCAAATACAAGCTCACCCCTGCACTGCCAGATGGTCTCTATGTGCATTTATGTGTGTAGACATAGGCCTACTTCTAAGATATTGTAGGTTTGGTTGCAGACCACTGCAGTAAAATAAGTATAGCAATAAAATGAGTCACACAATTTTTTTTGGTTTCCCAGTGCATATAAAAGTTATGTTTATATTATTCTGTAGTCTATTAAGTGTACAATAACATTATGTCTAAAACAAACAATGTACATACCTTAAATAAAAAATACTTTGTTAAGAAATGGTAATGATCATCTGATCCTTCAGCAGAGTCATGATCTTTTTGCTGGGGGAAGGTCTTGCCTTCATGTTGATGGCTGCTGATTGATCAGGGTGATGGTTGATGAAGGTTAGGGTGGCTGGGGAAATTTAAAAATATAAGACGGTAATGAAGTTTGGCTCATCCACTGACTCTTCCTTTCATGTAAGATTTCTCTGTAGCATGTGATGCTGTTTGAAAGCATTTTACTCACAGTAGAACTTTCAAAATTAAAGTCTACCCTCTCAAACCTTGCCACTGCTTTATCAACCAAGTTTATATAACGTTCCAAATCCTTTGTTGTCATTTCCACAACGTTCAGTGTCTTTTCTGGGAGTAGAGTCTATCTCAAGAAACCACTTTCTTTGCTCATCCATAAGAAGCAAGTCCTCAACCATTTACATTTTATTTTGAGATTACAGCAATTGAGTCCCATCTTCAGGCTTCACATCTAATTCGAGTTCTCTTTCTTTTTCTACCATATCTGCAGTGACTTCCTCCACTGAAATTTTGAACCCCTCAAAGTCATTCATGAGTGTTGGAAAAAACTTCTAAAGTCTGTTAATGTTGGTATTTTGACCTCTTTTCATGAATCATTAATATTCTTAATGGATCTAGAATAGTGTGTACCTTCCAGAAGTTTTCATTTACTTTTCCCAGATCCATCAGAAGAATCCCTACCTGTGATACCTATAGCCTTATGAAATATATTTCACAAACAGTAAGACTTAAAAGACAAAATTACTTCTTGATCCATGGACTACAGAATGGATGTTGTGTTAGCAGGTGTAAAAACAATATTAATCTTCTGTACATCTTTTATTAGAGCTCTTGGGTGACCAGGTGCATTGTCAATGAGTAGTACTATCCTGAAAGGAAGCTTTTTTTCCTGTGCCGTAAGTCTCAACAGTGGGCTTAAAATATTTAGTAATTCATGCTGCAAACAGATGTGCTGTCATCCAGGCTTCGTTGCTCCATTTCTGGAGCACAGACAGAATAGGTTTAGCTTAATTCTTCAGGGCCCTAGAATTGTCAGAATGGTAAATAAGCATTTACTTCAACTTAAAGTCACCAGCTGCATTAACCCCCAAGAAGACAGTCAGCCTGTCCTTTGAACCTTTGAAGCTAGGCATTGACTTCTCTCTAGCTCTGAAGTCCTAGATGGCATCTTCTCCAGTAGAAGGCTGTTTTGTCTACACTGAAAATTTCTTGTTTAGTGTAGCCACCTTCATCAAGGATCTTAGCTAGATCTTCTGGATAATTTGCTGCAGCTTCTATATCAGCACTTGCTGCTTTCTTCTGTACTTTTATGTTATGGAGATAGCTTTTTTCCCTAAACCTCATGAACCAATCTCTGCTTGCTTCAAACTTTTCTTCTGAAGCTTCCTCACCTCCCTCACCCTTCACAGAGTTGAAGAGAGTTAGTCCTTGCTCTGGATTAGGTTTTCGCTTAAGGGAATTTTGTGGCTGGTTTGATCTATCTAGACCACTCAAACTTTCTCCATATCAGCAATGAGGCTGTTTTGCTTTTTTACCATTCATGGATTCACTGGAGTAGCACTTTTCATTTCCTTCATGAACTTTTCCTTTGCATTCACAACTTGGCTGTTTGGCACAAAAAGCCTAGCTTTTGGCCTATGTTGGTTTTTGATATGCCGTGCTCACTAAGCGTAGTCATTTATAGTTTTTGATTTCAAGTAAGAGACATGAGACTCTTCCTTTCACTTGAACACTTCGAGGTCATTATGGGGTTATTAATTGGCCTAACTTCGATATGATCCTCTCAGTGGGTAGAGAGAGCTGAGGAGAGGGAGAGAAATGAGGGAATGGCCAGTGGAGCAGTCAGAACACATACAACATTTATGAATTATGTTGGGCATCTTATTTGGGTACAATTTGTTGACCCTAAAACAATTACAGTGGTAACATCAAAGATCACTTATCACAGATTGCTCTAGCAGATATGCTTCTTCAGTAATGAAAAAGATTGAATATTGTGAGAATTACCAAAATGTGGCACAAAGACAAAAAGCGAGCTCACGAAAAGTGAGCATGTACTGTTAGAAAAATGGTGCCCATATACTTGCTCAATTCAATGCAGGGTGCCACAAGCCTTTAATTTATTAAAAATGCAATATCTGCTACAAGCAATCTAGAAAGTACAAAAATGTGAGGTATGTCTGTATTAGATGAGAGAAACTAAAGCAAAGTCAGAGGTCTCTAAGGGGAGATTGGCCAGGCCTTTGACCTGCTTCCTATCCATTCAAAGATCATCAGGCCTCAATATATTGACTTCTCATTGCTAAGAATACATGAGGCTAAGAATAATAATTTATTAATCCACAGTGAGAAATGGAGCCATCACATTATATTAGTCCATTCTTGCATTTCTATAAAGAAATACCTGAGGCTGGGTAATTTATAGAGAAAAGAGGTTTCATTGGCTCACGGTTTTGCAGGCTGTACAGACAGCATGATGGCATCTGCTCAGCTTCTGGGAGGCCCCAGGAAACTTACCATGATGGCGGAAGGCAAAGGGGAAGCTGGCATTTCACATGGCTGGAGCAGGAGGAAGAGAGGGGGAGGTACCACACACTTTTAACCAACCAGCTCTTGGCAGAACTCACTTTCATGAGAACAGCACTAAGGGATGGTGTTAAACCATCATGAGAAATCCACCCCCATAATCCAACCACCTCCCACCAGGTCCCACCTCCAACTTTGGGGACTGCAATTTGACATAAGATTTGGTGGTGACACAGATCAAAACCATATCACGTATGGAAGAGGATAATGGAGATTTATGATGAGTTTATTTTTTCCCTATCATCAAACTACATGGTTTCTCACTGTGTTCATTTACGACATGAAACCACTGCTGTAAAGACCAGAAATGTTCACATTAAGAAGGTCAATTTCCTTTCTTTCTCTGTAGCCAACTGATTTGAGAATTTGAAGGTCATTTGGGGAGTACAACATTGGAACAAAGAGAGTTAGATAAAAAAATCCTAAACAACAGTGGACCAAGGTAGTCAGACACCTCTAGTAAACAAGTTAGCCTTGCCAGTGGGGCAAGATAGAATGATGTCTGTTGGTTTCATCCTGCATCCCATTATACTTTAGGAGTGCCCTTACATTGGAATTGGAAGAAACACACCAACTCCAATGGTTAGACCTTCCTTTCTCTTGGATTATGCTTTGCTGGGCACTGGTAATAAACTGTCTTGTCCAATCCATCCTTATTTTGATTGACAGATTGATTTTTAGAATATATTACTGTAATGTGTTCCATCTGGTTATAGTCAAGCCTGTTAGCCTGTGAGCCAATCAGGTGACTTGATCTCTATATGCACTGTCTCATGTTAGGCTGCTCTTATATTTATCTCTGAAGATAATCTGTTATTTCTAAATTCTTGAGGACACCTTACTTTAGCCCCCAAATATTAACACAAAATACTTGGTACAAAAATAAGGCAGATTTTTAATGATCAGCGTACATTCTTAAATGACCTACAATGTTTGGTGCAGTATATCAGGCATGATGTTTTACCCTTTATTTTATACTGAGGACTCTGAACTATGAGTCTTCTAAACAGAACATCTATATATTAATTCCTTTGATAAATTAAACTAAAATATTTTCTGGTAGGTTTCTCAAGATTTGATTTCTTGGTCACCAGAGGATATGTTTTCAAGCATCATCTTAAATAGAAAAATACATGTAAAGTCTAAAATAGCTTGGTCACATGACTTGGCGAAGTCATTTGAATGAAGTTACTTATGAGCCATTTCTTGGTGTGCAATCCTATTAAATTTATGATGGTCAATTATGATTATGAAAACATGCCAAAAGGCTCTTCCAGGTGTATTTTTACAGCATTTTCATTTTGTTCTTTAGCTTTTTTGGTTGCTAATCAAATTGTGCTCATCAGAGAATGATCAAAGGATATTTAAGACAAGATTTTGGTTTTCATATACTATTTAATATAAAACTATTGGCTTCATTTTTTATACTCTTTTAAATATATTAAAATGTTCATAAGGTATGTGAAAAAAAGGAAAAAGCAGCTTTCAAAAACAGTGTGTAATAATGATTTTAATTTTGTATAGATCTCTGTATATATGTATATATATCTAGTTAAGAAAAGGCAGAAAGGCATTAAACACAGTATGAATCAGTAATTTTATTTATTTCAGGGTGGTAGGAAATTTAAGTGAATAATTTAGATTTTTCCTCCCTGATTTTTGTATTAAAAAATATAACTAGGCCGGGAACAGTGGCTCACGCCTGTAATCCCAGCACTTTGGGAGGCTGAGGTGGGTGGATCACGAGGTCAGGAGATCGAGACCATCCTGGCCAACATGGTAAACCCCATCTCTACTAAAATATAAAAAATTCGCCGGGTGTGGTGGTGCCTCCCTGTAGTCCCAGATACTTGGGAGGCTGAGGCAAGGGAATCGCTTGAACCTGGGAGGTGGAGATTGCAGTGAGCTGAGATCACACCACTGCACTCCAGCCTGGTGACAGAGCAAGACTCCGTCTCAAAAAAAAAAAAAAAAAAAAAAATCTGTATCTCTATCTATATCTCTATCTCTATCTATATATGTATATAAAACTAGTGTGCTCTGTTTACTCTAGAATAGCAATAAGTTAAAAAATACTCTGAGAGATTTGTTCTTCATTCTAAAATAGCAGTGTCTTCAGCAATTACTTTACCATAAAGCTGGTCTCATTATTTTCCTTAAAAAATTTAGGGCACTTGAGTTTTTTTCCCAGTCACCTTTCATCATTGTGACTGATTAATTGAAAATCATCGAGTCAGAAGCCACTTTTCTACTCCAAGCTTTGAGCTAGTCAGCGAGAAACTATTTTTGTTAATACAAAAAATAAATAAAGGATATTTCTGTGTTTTCTCCCATTTCACTTATCCAGTGACATCATTGATTAAAATCCCCATCCTTTGAAGGAAAAATTTTGAGCTACTACTAACTGGAACAGTTCATCTGCTGGAGAAATTGTTGTGGGGACAACCTGCTTTTTAGATGATAGCTTGCTAGATAAAGTTGTCATTACATTTAGCTTGGTCTTTAATTATAAGCAGATGGATGAATTATTTTAACTGCTGCTATATATCTTAACAGTAGTTCATACATTGACACAAAGTGAAGAACATCAAACAGAAATTAAATACTAGGTCAGGAAAACAGCCAGCCTTCAAGGGAAGCAATTGATCACAAACTGTCATGTTTAAAGGCCAGAAGAATGCAAAATAAACACTTGGGATTAGTGTACTAAATATAGTTCATCTGTCTTCAGCTCTCCCCTCTGATAATTCATCTATTTCACTTATTTTAATGCTTTATCATGTATCTCTCCAGCTCTGTAATTAGTCTTTCAGGTATTCTCCTTTTCTTCCTGCCTTTGAAATTTTGTGTGGTGAGATTCTGCAAGGAGAAGATATTATTACCATCCAGTACAAAAGAAGCAACCTTGAAATGGTTATATTTTATAGCTCATATGCTAGAATTCTTGCTAAAACTTAGAGGGTATATTAGAATTGGTTTAAAGATAAGGTTTTAGTCAATTTACCATATTCCTTTAAATAGAGAGTTTAGTTTGGCTTAAACTGATTTTACAAGAGAAATCTGGATTTAGGTTCATTGAACTCAAAATACTTGCCTGCTTTTTTAAAAATAAAAAGTGCATAAATTAACTTCTGAATTAACACCAAAATGCTAATACTAGCATTTTATGGCTCAGTAGAGAAAGTCATTTTTCCTTGACTAAAAAGAATATAATTAACACATTTTTTCCATAGCAATAAATATACTTATGGTTATATAGTCAATTCTGTTTGGGATTTATAATCTGCCATACATTTTGCTCTAGAAGAAGAGTGTTTCCAAGACATAGATTTATTAATTTATTAATCAGTCTCAGAATATCAACAATAGTAAATAATTTTCATCTATTATTAAACATTGAAAACCTGAAACAATGCATGCAACCCCAATAGATAAACTGTTTCCACCTTAATGTAAACATGTGATGGCTTCTAGTACTTCAAGTGTAGATATAATGTCAAGATATTAACTTATCATATGTTCCTTTACAGACTCAAGAGAGTGGGATTTTCTATTTTTAGCTTCACTTTAAACTGCATGTTGTCATTCACTTTGTAGATTATCTGTGGGAAAGTTTAATCCTATCTGACTTCCTGTCATAATGTCCCTGTGCTGGGTGTGGGAGCATTCTCAGGGACTCAGTCTTTCCTTGGAATTAACTGAAAACCAGTATCAACTGGAATTTCCAGTCTGTGGCAAATTCATCTTCTCAAATTAGAATAGATTTTTGTTTTAAAGATTCTCCTATGTTTTTGTTTATGCAATTGCTCACTTTTACTGTTGAGGATTGACTATTTTGGGAGAAGATATTCCAAATATGATGCTATCAACAATGGTATGTGGGTTTCAGACCAACAGATTGGAGGGTTTTGTACATAAATGCTGAGAAATACTTGTCAGCAGAGAGGCAGGTAAGACAATGTAGAATTTGTGTATTATTCTAAAGCAACACATTTCAAATTCAGAAGCTTATGTGACTTGTCTATGAGTCTATGACTCATTTCTCTGATTTGTATAGAAATGAAACAGTGGGAAATTCGGTTTTATTACTAGCTTCTGTGTGATCCTCAGAAAATCTGTTAAGCTCTTGAAACATACATTTCCTCAGTTATAGAATGAAAATGAAATAAGATAAAGTGTCTGGGACATAGTTAGACTCAACTAACTCCCCTCCCTTCTTCCTTTCCTTTCTTCTTTCCTTTGGTCCTTTTCAATGTATATTGAGAAAGAGAAAACCAGTCCCAGGAGCCGCCCTGGCGCTCATAACTGAGCTTTGGTGTTTCTTTATTGAATATAAATAATTTTACACAAGACTGACATCAGAGAAGGCCATTCTGTGAACCTGATGGAGCAAGCTGAATCAAGACCACTTCATAATCATGCCAGAGCATGGACAAAAGCAACATCATTCCAACTGCAAAAAAGACCAAACATCTCCCTTTTCTGGCTAATGCAAGTAACTGCTTTGTCACTCATAGATCTTTCCTCACTTCATTCCTCTTTCCTTCTACATACAATTTATTTTCTTACCCCAATTTTTTTCTTTTCTTTTTTTTTGAGACGGAGTCTCACTCTGTCGCCCAGGCTGGAGTGCAGTGGCACGATCTGGGCTCACTGCAAGCTCCGCCTCCCGGGTTCACGCCATTCTCCTGCCTCAGCCTCCCGAGTAGCTGGGACTACAGGCGCCCACCACTACGCCCGGCTAATTTTTTGTATTTTTAGTGGAGATGGGGTTTCAGCGTGTTAGCCAGGATGGTCTCGATCTTCTGACCTCGTGATCCACCAGCCTCGGCCTCCCAAAGTGCTGGGATTACAGGCGTGAGCCACCGCACCCGGCCCTTACCCCACTTTTTGACGGCACTCAACCTACAGTGAAGTCCCACTTCCTTGAACCCTCTCTAAAATAACCTTTCAGAAGCCCAAATTCTGTAAGTCCTTTTGAACATCCTGTCTGAGATGGTCGATGGTTCACTGTGGTGTGGTTCCTGGTAGTCTTTGGCTATAGGACATTGACAGTGCTTAGAAATCACCATATGTCTTCATTGATTATGAAGAGGTCATAAAAGCAGTTATTTAAACTCCTTAATAAGAAAAAATTGAGATCTAGCAAGCTATTTTAGTTCTAAATTTGATGCTATCATTTTCTAGCATTGCTTGATTGGTCAAAATCACTTACCTGTCTTGGGCATATTTTTCTAATGATAAGACTGGGCTGGAAAGCTCTGCAATTTTTGTAGCTCTAACATTCTAGGGATGATTTTGTAGAAATTGTGAGTAGCATTCCTGGCATTAGCCATGGTGAAAAATACTCCTGTGTAACTTTGGATCCTCATTGCTTTAGAACTCCTAGCCATAGAATGAAGGTTAGGGGAATAGGTAATATTTGTTCAGATAAGAAATAGGAGGTTGACCCCCAAATGCAACAGTTGCTGAACATAAGCCTTTATCGTTACAGCCCGATGTTATCCTGGAGTAGGGGGCATAATTTTCCTGCCTTGCCATCCCACCTAGATGTTTGTTTTCTAGACAGTTGGAATAATTAATCAATGTTTAGTACAGTGCCATACATATAGTTGTTACTAAATAGATATTGCAGATGGATTATTTTATTATATTTATCATATATTCTCTGGATGTTTTCTGCCTGTCATCAGCTGAATATGCAAAGCAGTGAGTTAAGGAATCTAGGGGTATCTGAACCACAGGTCCAGTGGGAACCTGTATGACCCGGTAGGTGGGTAGTACAACCTCACATTCTGTGCTAATCCATTTCGTTTTCCTATTCAGAGTCTTATTTCTGTTTAATTGTGAAATAAATGGCAGCAATTATTAAGTATTGAGAGCTTGGAAATGTGCCGGGCACCCTATCAAGCCTTATCTTATTTAGGTCTCACAAGGCTTGTGTGAAACAGGCATTATTATTCCCATCTTACAGATATGGAGGCATGAGTTTAGTGAGGATAATTAATGGGTCTTAAGTCATTAAACTACAGAGTGATGAGTTTGTATGTTTGTTCTCCAAATCTGGCCCTTTGTTCATTCCATTATTTCTGTTTTTTTTTTTTTTCTTTTTTTCTTTTTTTTGAGATGGAGTCTCACTCTCTCCCCCAGGCTGGAGTGCAGTGGTGTGATCTCGGCTCACTGCAAGCTCCACATCCCGGTTCATGCCATTCTCCTGCCTCAGCCTCCCGAGTAGCTGGGACTACAGGCGCCCACCACCACGCCCGGCTAATTTTTTGTATTTTTAGTAGAGATGGGGTTTCACCGTGTTAGCCAGGATGGTCTTCACCTCCTGACCTCGTGATCCACCCACCTCGGCCTCCCAAAGTGCTGGGATTACAGGCATGAGCCACCGCGCCAGGCCTATTTCTGTGGTCTTTATTGTTGTATAATGTTTGTTCATATCACCACTATGGGGGTGAGAAATGGGCAATTGTGCCAAATGTGCAATGTGTGAAAGCATGGATATTCATTATTTAAAAAACATTTTAAGGTTAGAATGAATCACCAGCCCTTATTTTTAGTAAAGGCCTACTGCTTATGGGACATCAAGTCTCCTGAAGCCTTGGTTTTTCTCATTTGTAAAATGAGTCTTTGTTAGAGTAATGTCTGCTATGGACTGAATGTTTGGCTGCATTTGGACATGGGGCCTCTAAGAAAGTATTTAAGGTTAAGTGAGGTCCCAAAGTAGGGCCTTGATCTTACAGAATTCGTGTCCTCATAAGAAGAGACACCAGCAAGCTCTCTCTCTCCATCACGTGAGTACAAAGCAAAAAGCAAGCCAGGGAGGGAGTCCTCACCAGCACCCGACCATATTGGCACCGTGATCCCAGACTTTCAACCTCCAGAACTGTGAGAAAATAAATTTCTGTTATATAAATCACCTAGTTAGAGGAGTGATTTCATTGTCCTTCCTGCTGAATAACCTCATGTGGTCATCAGCCTCCAAAGTTCCTCTCCTCCTGGCATTTATGTCCTTGTGTAGTCACTTTCTATATCATGTCAGAGCTGCTGTGTTTGGCTAATACCATATAGCAGAGATGATGGTGTGTGATTTTCAAGGCTAGATCACACACAAAAAAATTGGAGTTTCTGTCTTGGGCTCTTAGATTGTATGCTCTGAGGTAAACAGGTCACCATGCTGTCAGGAAACTCAAGCAGCCCTGTGAAGAGACCCACGTAGGAAAGAATTGAGACCTCCTACTAATACTGGCACCAACTTGCCAGCCATGTGAGCCATCTTGAGTACAGATCCTGCAGTCCCAGAGAAGACTTCAGATGACTACAGCCCCAGCAGATACCTTGATTATAACCTCATTAGAGACTCCAAACCAGAACCATGCAGCTATGCTGCCTCTAAATTCCTGACACATAAAAGCTGTGAGAGCTGATAAATGTGTATTGTTTTAAGCCACTAACTTTTGGGGTTATTTGTTATAAAGCAATAGAAAAGTATCATAGTACTGCTCACCAGCAATTTATGCCTTCCTGGAGATGCAGAGCAGTCTGACGGGGCTTTTCCTAGCTCAGCAGTATTCCCCATGGGAACAGGCAGTGGTGTGCTGCTAGATGTTTAACAACTGGCTTCCCAGCAAGCAAGAAAACAAAGATCCTGATTTGTAGTATTTGACAATTTCCATGGTGTAAATACCCCCACCATGGTCAGCTTTAAGCTACCAATGTGATATCATTGAAGATGGCACTGGGGAGGGATGCATAGTAGCAAACTGTCACATCGCATTTCCACTATACAGATATAATTGTTGGAAATAGGATAGGTGTGGTGGCTCATGCTCGTAATCTCAACACTGGATGGCCGTGGTAGGAGGATGACTTTAGGCCAGGAGAGTTCAAGACTAGCCTGGGCAACATGGCAAGATCTCATCTCTACAAAAAATTAAAAAGTTAGCTGGGCATGGTGGCCATGTGCCTGTAGTTCCAGGTACTCAGGAGGTTGAGGTGGAAGGATTGCTTGAGCCCAGAAGGTTGAGGCTACAGTAAGTCTTCATCATGCCACTACACTCCAGCTTGGGTGACAGAGTGAGACCTTATTGTAAAGAAAAAAAAAATAGTTGGATTTAGCCTCAAAAGCATAGATAATAGTAAAATGTAGTAAAATCATTAGGGAATAAGGAGGTTTGAGTGTTTATTACTTTTGTTTTTAATATAATTTATTTAATTGTAAGCGCCTATAATTTAACTTTTAACTGTGGTTATATTTTATAATCAGCTCACAAAATTCCTAAAAATTTAACAATTGGCTCTTGTGTGCTAGCAGGACCTGGCTTTAGTACATCATACCAAAGTGATTTTTTTCAGTGACATTGTTTATTTGGATTGTTGTCTAATTACATCACCATTTGGGTAGTGATAAACTTCACATCTATAATAAATTGTTTTCACATCTCTAACAGATAGTGACTGGAGACACTTAAATGGAATAATTTTAGGAGTTTATGATATTTGGTTTGTTCAAAGTCACCATCCTGGAAAGTGCTCGACCAGGTGACTGTTGTTTGCCTCTAATTCGGGTTCTAAATGGAAGAAATACTAAGAATTGGATAATGTGACATACAATTGTATGAAAAACAAACAAACAAACTGACTTCCACATTTTAGAAACACACTGGTTCTTTACTATGTGGGTCAGGGTATCACTTTTACTGCCATGTCCTGCTTTCTGGGGTCTTTATAGCCTTCTACTTTTCCTGCTGCTGGGTCTTCTCTAAGCTTCTAAGAGACCGTACAATTTGCTGATTACAAATGTAAACTTCAGAATTACAATGGATTCCTGGCTCCTTAATAGCTATGTGACCTTGGGCATGTTACTTATCCTCTCCAAAATTCAAATTCTTTATTTATAAATAGGGTTGTTATAGGGAGGCAATAAAATCATGTTTGTAATATGCTTAGCAGAACACCTGATACATAAAACTATACACTATTATTAGCTATTATTTATTCAAAATAATTGGGTGATTCACTGAGACCATCCCTGGTTTACACAAACTGTGTTGTTCAAAAGTTCCTTTGGATCTCTTTGCGGTATAAATTACCTCCAACAGTTCTCATTCACTCTAAAAATATCTTTCCTAAATGTTCAGTCTGAGAGCAGCTGAAGAAAGGAGGGTCCTGGCAGACAGTGTTTTAAGCACAGTAACCCCACCATGGCCCAAGAAACTTTCTGTCTGAGTGTACACTGGGAAGGGAAGCTCCTCCTCTGCAGAGATTGGAGCTGTTTCTGAAGAGGAAAAGGGGCAGAGTCCTCTTTTCCATGGAACATGAGGATGGCGACTCAGTTTCTCCTCACACTGAGTGTGCAGTGATTACTTTCCATGAATCCTCCTCTCTGGGTTTCTCTCAAATACCATTAATACCAAGACCCATCAAGCTCAAGACTATAGGATTTTTTGTCTCTTATAGAGCTTCCACCTAACCTTATTGGGGTGGGAGAGGAGATATTTATTATAGACTAAGGTAGTCTCCTTGGTTTAGGTGATGTACCCTTCACCCAAGCCCCCACTAGTCTTCCAGTGCTATTCAGTGAAAGGTGGCATCATTTTTTTCCTCCAAGGCGCCAAGTGTCAGAAGTTATCTCAATTGTCCTCCCATTAATTCTTCTGAGTGACTCTGAGTTGGGATCAAACACAGATTTAGACAAATCACTTAGCTTCTCAAAGCTTCAGTTTAAAAAAAGCTATAAAATAGTGATGAGAATGGGTTTATTATATGCTTCCTAGAGTTATCGTGAAGATTAAACACCATGTAAGGGTGTTACATGTGAAGTACTTAACAACCTAGCAAGACCTGATGTTTTCACAGATCAGTTACACGCCCCATCGACATGGATTTTTCTATTTCGAAAATATAAACATTACTCTTTCTTCATTTGACCAATCAATTCGAGTTTTAAATTTCTTCCTCTACTTAGTACCTTTTTTTTTCCTTGCAAATATAGGTTTCAGGAAACTCAGTAGATTCCACTCTTGCCTGGGATACTTAGATTAACCCCCTACAGCCTCTGGCAGGAACAAAGGCATGGATGAAAGAGAGAGGAGCGTGGTGATACAAAGCTGACTGCAGAGACACATGGCTTCTGCCAATGCCAGAGGAACAGGTGAGCCGGCTGGACAAGACGGACACTCAGATGTCTTGCTTCTCAAATGTCTTGCTTCTCACCTACCTCTGGAGGAAAACTCAGAGGATGCCTAGGCTCAAACCAATCTTTATTATACTGGTGCCACAACACAGCATTGCACCTCTTTGATGCCCTACCCCCATTCCATTTCATCTTAAAAAAATACAATTCTTTGCATTGAATTTATTCCCCTCCTCCTCCCACATATGTTGATGAAAATCGGTTGATGGTGATAGATACAAATTAGCCTTGCTAACTAACTGGAAATCTTCCAGGGACATATCAGCAATGACGATTTGGAAAGCAGTATGCTGTGGAGTCTTGTCATAAGGATAATGATTTTTTTTTCTTGTAGCAGCTTGGTTTCTCCTTCTCTGGGTAAATTTTTATTTTTTCATCTAAGACACCTTCGTGATTATGAGGGATGGATCTCTTAAGCTTTGTTAATGGCTAGGCCAGAATTGGAACAAGGATGGAGAAGGTACAAGTCCTGTGGTCACAGAGCTCACAGGGGGACAGATTAGTCAACAGACTTGTCTAATACTGTCTGTTGAGAACAAGGATGAAGGTTTGCATACGGATTATGACAGTACATGAGCAGGAGCGTCACACATTGCTTCTGCAAGAGGCTGACTCACAAGTTGAGCTTTGCAGCGTGATGTGTGATCATTCCCCATTCTTCTCTCTACCACTTCCAGATCCATTCTTTTTTTGGCCCAAATTGGCATCCTAGGATCCTGACTCCCGCCTAGTGTGTATTGTGATTCCCCACCCAGTCCCTCATCTAGAAATGCAGGACTTAGTCCCCTAAATGCTGGAAGACCAACCTCACATGTCAACCCTTTTTTGGGATTTTGTCTCCTGAAGAACATGTCTCGTCTAAGGTCGTGCCTCCTCTCAGGGGCAGCTGTGTCCAGTGACTGATTATTGAGGGGCTATAAAGGCCACCCCTCCTCCCGCCACCATTTGCTCCAACTTGAAAGAAATCTGAAGGATCATTCAAGCTTCAGAGCTTGCATGGACTCATCTGAGGCCTTAGCTGGGTATGCACCATGTGCCACCTCCTCCTCTGCCCAATCCTGTTTCCTTCCTCTCCCTTCCAGGGTTGGTCATCCCAAGAGCACTCTCTGTTAAGTGTCCTGCACACTAACCCCCATCTCTAGTGAACCCAACCTACAACATCTGTGGACTGCAGGGCCCAGGCTAACTGGCTGGCTGGATTCCTGATGGGTTCAGCCAGTAGCCTGTGATCAGAGGTGGGGAAGACAGAGAAGCATTTACTCTGTGTGCCATGTACCCTCCCTTCTTCCACACTGTTCTCTGGCAGAAGCTGTTCTCTCTGGGACTATGGTCCTATCCAGGCAGGTGCTTCTCTCTGGTGCCTGCTCTCACTCACTCAGCTCTGAGAGTAGTAATCTTCTCTCTGTTGCTAGTCTCTGGGAGACAACGCAACATCTCTAGTTGGTTTCCTTAATTTTATTTTCTTAACCCAAATAGATCCATTGGTTCCAACTTCAGTTGAAGTAGTGGTCTGCTGGTAAATGTTTAACAACTGGATCTCTGGCAGAAAAACAAAAAAGTCCACATTTGTAGCATTTGCCAATTTCTGTGGGGTAAATATTCTCACCATGGCCCAAAATGATTCCATGAGACACAGGGTTGGGAAAAGATGCCCAGTAGTTCCACTATAAAGATAAAATAGATGTAAATAATCTCACGGTTGTACATAATAGTGAAATGTAGTGAAATAATGAGGAAGAGAGATGAGAGATGTGTTTTGATTATCATTACTTTTGTTTTTAGTATAATTAGTTATGAATTAATTTAATTTTTAATAATGACTATGTTTAACAACTAACTTGCAAAATTCCTGGGAATTAGCAGTTGACTCTTCCCAGACGAGTCAGCTCCAGCACAAGACTGAGTTGAAATATCTGAGCAGAACTTTGTTTTATGCTGGGACCCTGCCTGATTTAGGCAAGCAGCAGTAAGACAGGGAAGTTACAGATGAAGCTGAGAAATGACTGATGGGGGAAGGGAGGGGTTGAAGTGCAAGTGTGGGACAGGGTAGGTAGAATCCAAGGTGGAAAGACCAGCATGTGGGTATGGATCAAGGTGCACCGCTTACCAGATTCTCAGCCCCCCAAACAGTGGGAACTGTAGATGTCACATGACTTCTGCCTTTTTTTGGGACAGCTCTGCCCCTTTATAACTTTTGGCTATTTGGGCACACCATAAACGTCATAAAGGAAAATAAATCTGGTGATAGAGCCTCAGAGGAGGAATTTGGTTTTTCAAATGAGCTTTGTCAAATTTCCAGGAAAACGATACCAAGGTCTGAAGTTCGAGTTCTGTATCTCAGGAGTATGAATGTGTCTAGGGGGTTTGGGGTGATTCAGTTGGGAAAAAGGGTGTAGAATATTATTAGTTGGAGAAGGTCAAAAGACTGATAGAGATTGAGAAGACATTGAACAGATAGGAGTGAGTTTGCAAATCAGAGTTTTTTTCTTTTAAAGCAAATTTTCTTCTAAAGTTTTATGTCTATACTTATTCTGAAAATATGGAACTATGCATCAGTGTTTTGGCAAATATATTTCCAGTATGACCAGACTGAAAATACAGAAGTGAGGAGATAATTGATTTTGAAAAGTTATACTCATCCATATTTTCTGGTAGGGTTGAGATCACATTTTTGACACACTCAGATCCTGGCTATGTGCTGTGCATCAGGAGATGTATTAATAGAGCATCCTAACTGTTCTAGATAATGATGAAGTGCCTCTTGAGGCTGCATGTTCCAAATCTGACGTCAACTGTGCCAATATTCTGAGAGAAAAGACAACTTCTAATCATTTCTCATGCTAAAACAGTTCCACAGCCATTCTTAATCCATGAAATGTGTGCTATTGAAAAAGAAACATGGCTTCCCCTATCAAATCAGGGAAGATGTTATTTCAGAACTCATAAGTGGATAGATCATTGGCTCACAGTCCAGACATTCTAGGAGCAAAACTTCTGGGCTGAATGGATCGATGGGTAGCTCATACCTAGGAACTATCCTGAAGCATTTCATTAACTAGTAAGTCACTGCACCCTATAGATGGGTGTGTGTCAGATCACATTCAAAATTGGCATGTAAAAGCAAAAACACTGTTTCTATGATCCCTTCAGTTCAAAACAAAATTCCTTTTAGGAAGGGATTTAGTCTATGGAGTATCTTTACATTTTGAAGTCCTTCCCACCTAGAGGAAGAAAGATGGAGTGACAATGAGTGAAATTTAATTTGCTTATTCTCATATATTATTTTAGTAATTAAGTACATTTGTTTATATTTTGTATTGTGTGTGGCACTTCATAATATATAGGATTTTCTTTTTTCATCCCTCCCCAGTTTTCAATCCAATATATTACCAATATAAGTAGCTGCAACTACTATTATTTGTGTAGAGTTTTACAGTTTGTGAAGTCTTATACTGTTTCAGTTAATTCTCACCATAACCCAAATAGGTGGTCATTAGTCATCATATTTTATGCTGTTAAATTAAATCTAGCCTAAAGCTGCCTCCTTTGCAACTTCAGCCTAAAACATTCTCCATAGTGATCTATAGCCTACCTGGATTGTAAACAGACTGTAACCTACTCTTTAAAAAGTAGCTGAATCCCAGCCAATCCCAGCAGCCACACTTTGACCGCTCAGAGATGGCCAACTATTCAGACCATGTTCACATAAGGCAAATGTGGAGCCATAACCAATCTGGCTGTTTCTGTACTTCGTTTCCATTTTCTGTATGTAACTTTCCTTTTTCTGTCCATAAATCATCTTCAACTATGCAGCAATATTGTAGTCCCTCTTAACCTATCCTGTTTGGAAGGTGGTGGGGGTTGCCAGTTCATGAATTATTCTTTGCTCAATTAAACTCTGTTGTTAAATTTATTTGTCTAAAGTTTTTCTTTTAACAATGCTGAGGAACCTGTATTAGAGAGCTTCAGCAACTTGCCCACGGTTAAACACCTTGGAAGTGACATAACTGAGATTTGATCTCTATCTGCCTCTGTATCCCTCACATTCCCACTCATATGTCCTGCCACACATGGAGGTATGGACTGTCCTCTCCTATTTCTTCGGTATGATTGGATCTGCATCTTGCCTCTTCCTCTATTTTCAGGGTGAGTGTTCTGCTGCTTTTGTTACAGGTAGTCAGACAGGCATAAGCGGGGCAGGAGAGGGCTCTTTTCCCCTGCCCGCTAGGAATGTCAGGTGATCATTCGACAACTATCACACTGTCTCTATAAAAATGATAATTCAGCAGCTGGCACCAGGGTGCCAGGGAGAGACAGTCTCCTGATGATCCATAGCTGTTAACATTATTGTGTTAAATGAATGCAGATGTGAGGGGGAAGCAACTTCCTGGGCATGCACATTAAGAGACAAAATGGTGAAGTATGACCTTCCGGGGGACACTCCACTGGAAAAGGGAAGAACGCCTCAGATGGGGATGCATACAACTTCCTAAACACATTGCACGTGCTCACCTCCTAAGGGTCAGGAAGGCACTGCACATGTGGGCAGCCCAGCCCACACTAAGGATGAATCATAAGAGAGGGGAGAACATACATGACTGTTCCAGTTGCTCCATATCTTCATCAGCCTTTAGTTTTGTTCTTTTTAATCCTCACCTTTCTCAGATGGGTGTGGTGGTCCATCTCTTTATGGCTTTAATTTGAATTTCCCCGATGCAAGTGATGTTAAACACTTTTTCATGTGCTTATTGGCCATTCATATATCACCTTCTGTGCAGTGTGTATTCAGGCCTCTTGTCTATTTAAACATTTTGATTGTTTGACATTTTATTATTGATTTATAGGAATTTGTTATGTATTTTGGATACAGGTTCTTTGCCAGATGTGTGTATTATGATTACTGTCACATAGTCTACGACTTGCCTTTTACTTTTCTTAATAATGTCTTTTTTTTTTTTTTTTTTTAAAAAAAAAAACCTTTTAGGTTCAGGGGTACATGTGCAGGTTTGTTATATAGGTAAATGTGCCACGGGGGTTTGTTGTATGTATTATTTCATCACCCAGGTATTAAGCCTATTACCCAATAGTTATTTTTTCTACTACTCTCTTTCCTGCCACCATCCTCCACTCTCAAGTAGGCCCCAGTATCTGTTGTTCCCTTCTTTGTGTTCACGAGTTCTTATCATTTAGCTCACACTTATAAGTGTGAACATGTGGTATTTAGTTTTCTGTTCCCGTGTAGTTTGCTGAAGATAATAGCCTCTAGCTCAATCCATGTTCACACAAAAGACATGATGTCATTCTTTTTTATGGCTGCATAATTTTTCATGGTATATATGTACCACATTTTCTCTTTCCAATCTTTCATTGATGAGAATTTAGGTTGGTTCCATGTCTTTGCTATTGCGAATAGTGCTGCAATGAACATTCACGTGCGTGTGTCTTTATGGTAGAATGGTTTATATTCCTCTGGGTATAAACCTTGGGATTGCTGGGTTGAATAGTAGTTCTGTTTTCATCTCTTTGAGGAATTGCCATACTGCTTTCCACAATAGTTAAACTAGTTTATACTCCCACCAACAGTGTGTAAGTGTTCCTTTTCTCCACAGTCTAATGATGTCTTTTCAAGAGTACAAATTAATAACTTCAAAATCCAATTATAAGTTTCTTATGATGAGTGCTTTATATGTCCTAAGAAATCTTTGTCTATGTTAAGTTTAAGAAAATATTCACCTATATTTTCTTATAGAGAAGATATCCTTACAATTGTATCCTTAAATTCATTGTATCCTTAAATTTATTTTATTTTCTTTCTTTCTTTATTTTTTTTTTGAGATGGAGTCTCCCTCTGTTACCCAGGCTGGAGCACAGTGGTGCAATCTCAGCTAACTGCAAGCTCTGCCTCCAGGGTTCATGCCATTCTCCTGCCTCAGCCTCCCGAGTAGCTGGGACTACAGGTGCCCGCCACCATGCCCGGCTAATTTTTTTGTATTTTTAGTAGAGACAAGGTTTCACTGTGTTAGCCAGGATGGTCTCAACCTCCTGACCTTGTGATCCGCCTGCCTTGGCCTCCTAAAGTGCTGGGATTACAGGCGTGAGCCACCGCGCCCGTCCTGTATCCTTAAATTTCTTATAGAGAAGATAACCTTACAATTGTATCCTTAAATTCATATGATACAATTCTTACAATTGTATCATATGAATTTATATTTAGGTTTACAATACAATTTGAATTGATTTATATGTATGGTATGAGGTAGGGGTTGAGGTTCATATTTTTTCTCTACCTATTTATCTAGTTGTTAAGCACCAATTGCTGAAAGGCAATTCCTTTCTCCACTGAATTGCTACAGTGGGGATTTATTATTCACTCATCAAACAACCAAATTTGCATTTGTCAATTATTTTTCAAGGAAGACCATCTCAATTTATTACCTTTTGTCTTCTAGATATTTGACAACCATTATATGCCACCATTTTTATATTTACATGGCAATCAGATATGTGAAGTAATGAAGAAGTCAGTTGAGGCCATCATGTCCTTTGAAATTTAAGTAAAATTGTTTTGAATCTAAATTCCCAAGACAATTAAAAGAGAACTTCCACAGACTACCAGTACACATTATCTACCCCCAGCCTTTGCATCCTTTTCATTCTGCACATTAGTCTACTTATTATCCACATTCCTGTCTGAAGCCAAACTCTTCACTTGAAACACCAAATCTTACTCCATTGCTCTACAAAATTTCCCATCTATTTCCTGACTCATCAGTTCACTGAATCATTTTCAACAGCATATAATTGCACTCCTATTTTTCTATCCTAAGAAAAGCCCTTCTCATGTCTCCACTTCTCACTAAATACTTTCTCTGTTTCTCTTTGCAGAAAAATTATTTTAAAGAGTTGTCTACATTTGATGTTTCCAGTTCTTCTCCTCCTGTTCTTTCTTAAATATATGCAATCACCTTCACTATTCCACAAACATTGCTCTTGTCAAGGTTAAAAGTACAAGAAAAGTCACCTATGACAGCAATTGCTAAAAACTAGTGGTCAATTTTTAGTCTTGATCTTACTAGACCTATCAGCATCATTCAACACCACTCTTCACTTGACTGTTAGGACACTACACTCTGATGCTTTATCTTCTACTTTGTTGTTGCTTCTTCTCAGTCTCCTTTGCTGGCTCCTCCTTACTCCTCTGATCTCTTAAGGTTGTAGTACTCCTGGACTCAGTGCTTTTTGTCTTCTCTGTTGGCATTCACTCTCTTGTGCATCATACTGTTGGTTAACTTTGTATAACCTCATATGCTGTCGACTTTCACATGCCTCTTTCAAAGATGCCTGTGACTTCCTTCCTCCAAAAGTTCCCTCATATATTCATCCATATTTCCCTATGTTTGTGAGATTCCACTGCCCATTTTGGACTTTCTCTAGAACTTCAACTCTCCTGTCTTTATTAGGAAAGATTGTTAGCATTCTACTGATTCTTCAGCGCTGCCCACTATAGCATGGAACCTTCATACAACACTACCTCAGAAGACCACAGTCTGGTTGTTTGTTATGTGAAAATACTTCCTTTGTAAAAGTATAGATCTGATAAGTCATTAGGAGAGTATGGCCTGGCAAGGCTGAGCCCATTTTATCCCATTGAAATAATTTATGTAAGTTAGGACTAAGGAAGGGAATCCAATTATGAGCTATTCCACAGTCTCTATAGTTCGGCCTATGTTAGAAGTTTTGCATGATAGTTAATTTGTAAAATATCTGTCAGGGAACAGGGGAAGCCTTTCTCTCAGCAATCCAAGTGAAAAAGGAAGTATGGCAATTGATAATGTAACTGTCAATCTTCCTGAGTAAAACAGAGGGAGGTAAGTTCCCTTGCAGGGGTTCTCAGTTTGGGTGTTTCCAGAAGTGACCCATTAGGCGAGGAAGTGAGGGCAAGTAGCTTATTTGGAAGGTTTCCCAAGAAGCACTATCATGCACATTTTGGTTGTTTCTAACTTTTTACAACTGACTATATACTTGGTTTTTACGTGTGTGAATATTGCAGTATGATACATTTCAAGAAGTGGCCTGTGCTGGCTAAGTCTATGTACACTTAAAATCTTGATAGATGACAAAAACTTAAATCTTAATTTAAAATCTCCCATACTTTAGGCCACCTTTTTTCAGGGTCTTTTCTCATGTCACCTTTTTTCAGGGCCCCATTCATCTGTTATTTTGCATCATCTATTACCCCCTTCAACTTCTTACTTCTGCCTTTGTCCAACTCAGATTTCATGGTATAAAATTATAATCATTCCCATGAGAACATTTTTGATGCTTCTGTTCTCTCTGTCATATTCCTTTGCAAAACTGCCCATGAGTTAAGCCCAATTGTCCATTCATTCCCTCCTTATGCTCAAGCAGCTGAACATAACTAGAGAAAATCAAATGGTATTGTCATCTGGACTCACTTCAACTTATGACCACAAATCTCAAAGGTGCACTCAGTTCTTCCAGACAATTCTGCTACACATCCCTGGTGAATTTAGTTCCCAGTTCTCAGTGATGACTATTTTGTAGCTTCTTTTCATCGTCCCCACCTCACTGCATCTTAGCTTGCAAATTTGCCTCATATTTTATAGAGAAATTAGATACATTTGCATGAGAGTACATCTTGTAAATATGGAATTTGCCAGTCTATTTGCTTCTCTCCTCATTTACTGTGATGCAAGAGGCATTCCTGCTCCTATCTTAGACCAATCCTCTATTCTATCACTTTGCCTTCTCAAGCAGTTTGCACCTAGAATCATTCCTACTCTCTCCTTCATTATGAGTTTATCCTGTTCTATTTTTGATGGCCTTTTGGATTGTTTTCAGTTTTTTTTCTTCTGTCATTAAGAACAATTATACTATGAACTTTTATAATGTATGTAATAGAATATTTATGGAGAAATTTTTTAGGGTAAATAGCTGGAAATGGAACTTCTGAGGGTAGCAGAATTTGCTAGTGCTCACCAATATCTGTGTTTTCATTTCCTGTGAATACAGACTAAGTTTTTCAGCTTCCCTTGTAGTTAGACAAGGCCTTTGAGTTCTGGCTAATGGAACGTATAAGCAGACTGATATTTGCCGTGTCTAGTCCTGGTCCATAAAAATGTCCATGCAGCAATCCTTACTTTCTCTCCGTGTATGACTATGTGGATTAGTATACTGCTCCCTTCCCCCATGTCGTGAGCAAGGGATTAACTTTTATTATGTTAAATTTCTAATATTTGAGGTAGCTTTAGAAATTTATTTATTAACTTTATTACAAAGTTAACTCACCCTGACAATACCCTGGGTCTTAGAGAATAAAATGTTCAATTTATTAGGTAATGGCAAACTGTTTTTCAAAGACACTCTTATACTCTGCCCAACTGTGTATGAGATTTTCTTTTGCTACATATCCTTATCAACACGTGGCATTTTCCAATTTAATAAATTTTACTAATCTTATGAGTATTAAGTGGTATCTCAGTTTGCATTTAGTTTTTATTTCCTTAATTACTAATAAAGTCAGTCAACTTTTTATATGTTTATGGGCCATTTATATTTCCTTTTCCAAGTGTCTGTTTGAGTGATTTTCTGATTTTTCCGTTGAGTTGCTTATCTTTTCTTTGTATGCATTAAAAAAAGTCTTTATATGTCATGAAAACCAATGCTTTGTCAATCATATATGCTGCAAATGTCCTTTTTTTTAAGAATTTGACTTTGGGTAAGATTTTTTAGATTTAATTTTTAATTTTTGTGGGTACACAGTAGGTGTATATATTCATGGGGTACATGAGATATTTTGACACAGGCATACAATGTGTAATAATCACCTCAGGGTAAATGGGTTACCCATCACCTCAAGCATTTATCCTTTCTTTGTGTTACAAGCAATCTTATTAAACATTTTTAGTTATTTTAAAATGTACAATAAATTATTGTTGACTGTATTAACCCTGTTGTGCTATCAAACATTAGGTATTATTCATTCTATCTAACTGTATTTTTGTACTCATTAACTATTTCCACTCCTGCCCCTACAACTACCTTTCCCAGGCTCTGTTAACCATCATTCTATTCTCTATCTTTAATTTAATAGATAGATATCTCTATCTATGTTTAATTGCTCTAATTTTTAGCTCCCACAAATAAGCGAGAACATGCAAAGATTGTCTTTCTGTGCCTGGTTTATTTCAATTGACATAATGACCTCCCGTTCCATCTACGTTTTTGTAAATGACAGGATCTCATTCTTTTTTGTATGGCTGAATAGTACTCCATTGTGTATATGTACCGCATTTTTAAAAATCCATTCATCTGTTGATGAACACAGGTTGATTCCTTATCTTGGCTATTGTGAATAGTGTTGCAATAAACATGGGATTGCAGATAACACTTCAAAATATGATTTCCTTTCTTTTGCTTATATACCTAGAGTAGATTGCTGGATCATATAGTAGTTCGATTTTTAGTTTTTTGAGGAACTCCAAACTGTTCTTTATTGTGTTTGTACTAATTTATATTCCTACCAACAGTGTATGATGACTTCCTTTTCTCCACATCCTAGTCAGCATTTGCTGTTGCCTGTCTTTGGAGAAAAGCCATTTTTAACTGAGATGATATGATATTGCATTGTAGTTTTGATTTGTACTTCTCTGATGATTAATGATGTTGAGCACCTTTTCATGTACCTGTTTGCTAATTTGTATGTCTTTTGAGAAATGCCTATTCACATCTTTTGCCCATTTTTAAATTGGATTAGTAGATTTTTTCTATAGAGTTGTTTGAGTTTCTTACATATTCTGGTTATTAATCCCCTGTCAGATGAATAGTTGGAAAATATTTTCTCCTGTTCTGTGTGTTACCTTTTTACTTTGTTGATTTTTTCCTTTGCTGTGCAGAGCTTTTTAACTGGATGTGATCCCATGTGTCCATTTTTGCTTTGGTTGCCTGTGCTTGTGAAGTATTATTACTCAAGAAATCTTTGTCTAGTCCAATGTCCTGAAGAGTTTCCCCAAAGTTTTCTTACAGTAGTTTCGTAGTCTGAGGTCTTAGATTTAAGTCTTTAACCATTTTGACACAATTTTTAAATATGATTAGATAGGGATCTAGTTTCATTTCCCTGCCCATGGATATCTAGTTTTTCCAGTACCATTTATTGAATAGACTGTTCTTTCCCCAATGTATGTTCACAGTTTTGTCAAAGATGAGTTCACTGTAGGTGTATGGATTTGTTTCTTGGTTCTCCAATCTGTTCCATAGGTCTATGTGTCTGTTTTTATGCCAGTGCCAGGCTGTTTTAGTTACTATAACTCTCTAGTGTAATTTGAAGTCAGGTATGTGATTCCTCCAGTTTTGTACTTTTACTCAGAATAGCTTCAGCTATTCTGGGTGTTTTGTGCTTCCATATCAATTTTAGGGTAAGAAAATATTCTGTGAAGAATGTCATTGGTATTTTGATTGGGATTGCATTGAATCTGTAGATTGCCTTGGGTAATATGGACATTTTAACAATATTCATTCTTCCAATCCATGAACATGGAGTATCTTTCGATTTTTTGTGTCCTCTTCAATTTTTTTCATCAATGTTTTATAATTTTCCTTGTAGAGATCTTTAACTTCTTTGGTTAATTCTTAGGTATTTTATTTTATTTGTAGCTATCATAAGTGGGATGACTTTCTTATTTTTCAGTTTGTTCACTGCTGGCATATGTAAATGATACTTTTTTAATATATTGATTTTGTATTCTGCAAATTTACTAAATTCATTTATTAGTTCTAGTAGTTTTTTGGTGAAATCTTTACATTTCTCCAAATAGAATAAGATCATATCATCTGCAAACAAGGATAATTTTGACTTCTTCCTTTCTAGTTTGGATGCCCTTTATTTCTTTCTCTTGTTTGATTGATCTAGGTAGGACTTCCAGCATTGTGTTGAATAATGATGGTGAAAGTGGGCATCCTTTTTGCATTTCTGATCTTACAGGAGAGGCTTTCAGTTTTTCACCATTCAGTATGATACTAGCTGTGGGTCTGTCATGTATGGCATTTATTATGTTAAGGTATGTTCCTCTTATATCCAGTTTTTTTGAGGGTTATTTTTTATCATGAAGGGATGTTGAATTTTATCACATGATTTTTCAGCATCGATTGAAATAATCATATGGTTTTTGTCCTTCATTCTGTTGGTATGATGTATGACATTGATTGATTTGTGTATGTTGAAACATCCTTGCATCCCTGAATGCATAATGAATGATCTTTTCAATGTGTGTGGCATTTGGTTTGCTAGGACTTTGTTGGGGATTTTTGCATATCAAAACCTATGGGATACAGAGAAAGTAGTACTAAGGGAAAAGTTTCTGGCTATAAGCACCTACATCAAAAAAGTAGAAAAACTTCAAACAAACAACCTAACAATGCATCTTAAAGAAGTAGAAAAGAAAGAGCAAATCAAACTCAAATTTAATAGAAGAAAATAAATAATACAGATCAGAACAGAAATAGATGAAATTGCCAAGTAGAAAACAATACAAAATATCAATGGAATGAGAAGTTTATTTTTTGAAAAGATAAAACAAAATTGACAAACCTTTAGCCAGACTAACTGAGAAAAAAAGAAAGAAGAGCCAAATAAATAAAATCAGAGATGAAAAAGGAGACATTACTAATTATACCAGAGAAATTCAAAGGATCATTAGAGGCTACTATAAGCAACTATATGTCTTTGTAAAGGTCTGAAGTAATTTAGCACCTTTATTTTCAGACCCAATATTCACACTAAGATCCCTTACCAGGGTTCAGTTTGTTTAGAATGTGATCCCCAAGGCCAGGAGGTGAACCCTTAATGTGTATAGGGGAGGGAGGGAGATGAGTCCGACTGATCCAGCTCTTTCAATAGCTTGCCTTTAGTTAATGGCCTCGATGAATGCTATGGGTTCTCTTTAATGATGTCTTTCGTATAATTTGGGCAGTGTTTTTCCTTTCTTATGCTTCTTTGTCCTTCTAGTCCTTTTCCTTTTTAGTAATTCTTCAGAACTTCTCACTTAATATTTACCTCCTTGTAATGGTTAACTTTATATGTTAACTTACAGGGTATTTTCGGGTGAGATGAACATTTAAATTGGTGAACTTTGAGTAAGTAGCTCTCTATAATATGGGTGGGGCTCATCCAATCAATTGATTGCCTGACTAGAACAAAATGATTGGCATCCTTTCGCAGGAAGGTATTCTCCAGCCAACTGCCTTTAGCGAGGAACTGTATTTACCTTCCCGGGCTGTCCTCCAGCTCCAGCCTGCCAGCCCATGCTGCAGCTTTTGGACTTACTAGTATCCATAATTATGTGACTAATTGCATATAATCAATCTCTCTCCCTCTTTCCCTAGACACATACGTACACACACACACACACACACACACACACACACACTCATTCTATTGGTTCTGTTTCCCTGCAGAACCCTGACTAATACATCCTTAGACCCTTTTTGATTGGTTATTTCTGCTGTTATTCATTTACATTCCTTAAAATCTCGGTTTTGTCATTGTAGGAGGAAAATTAGAAGACAAGTATCCTCATTTCCACCTGGATCCAGTCTTTCTTCCTTGTTACTTTTATTAACAATATCAGTTAAGGTTTATATGGATGTCTTGCTTTAGCCTGTACAAAAACTACTTTGTATATGCCTTATTTTATTAATTTTGCTTTCATCAAATTCTCTGATCATAACTCTATATTCTTGTAAGGAATGCTCAGAATTATACTATTTCACTCCAAATTTTATGATTATTGAGAAGAAACTGGGTATAGAAGGTTGTGGGACCAGTTTGTGATCTATTGCTTTAAAATTTGGTCAAGTCACTCAAATTCTCTAGCTGTACCTATGAAATAGCTTTAATATTTCAATCCCCTGCATTTTCTTTGCATAATATGGAGTTTGAATTGAAGTGGTCCTGAATTTGAGTGCTGCATATGCTACTTTTGAGATATATGATCTTGAGCAAGTTGCTTAATCACATTAAACCTCAATTCACTCATTTTTAAAATAGAATAAATAATAGCTACTTTACAGTGTTGAGAAAAGAATAAGATGAAACAGTTTATTAAAAACATAGAAGAGTGCTTAGGACATAATAAAGTCTACATAAATTGTGCCTATTGTTATTACTAATACCACTATTATTTTTCTTCATTTTTTCCTTAATTCAATAAATGTTTATTAAAAGCCTACAATGTATCAGGCACTGCCCTAGGTACTTTGGAAACATCAATGAGCAGAACAGAAAAGAATGTTCTCTCATGGAGTTTATGTTCTGGTGGATTTATTACTGTGGAATGGGATTGTGTGTAATAAGATATTTTGTAAGCTATTGTGTTAATAACAAGCCATCTAAAACTTGTGTCCCCAGATGAGATACATTAAATCTGCAGATCGGCTGGGTGGTTCCTCAGGTTTTGGCTGTACTTGCCCACATGCCTGGGGGTCTGTGGGTTGTGTCTGACCTGGGATGGCCTCAGCAGGGATGAGTAGCACAGGACAGCTCAGATCTTCTCTCTGTGTGTCACCTTCTAGCAGGTTAACCCAGGAATGTTCTCATGGCAATGGCAGAGGAATAAGAGCAAGAGTAGAAACATGCAAGTGCTTTTTCGAGCCTCTGTAGCATGTCTGCCAACATCCCCTGGGCCACATCAAGACACTTGGCCAGCTCAGAGCCAGAGTGGGAGTTGCAGTACAATGTTACAAAGGGTGTGGATACAGGGAGGTGTGAAGAATTGGAACCATTAATGCAACCAATCTATCCCATCTATAAAACACAATTTGGTGTACTGATTATTTGTAGGTGTGGATACGTACATAGAAGGTTAATTCCTGAGACTGTTCTTTAAAGTCTTGAAGAAGTAGTATATGACATTTATTTCTACGTGCGTGGCTAGTCTGCTGGAAGTCCAGCTTTGAAACCAAACTTCAAGTTGTAAGAACACAGTGTTGAAGATCAAAGGCCTAGGTTAGCTCAGCCAGCAGGTTGGGCAGGCAAGTGGGAGCAAGGTGTGAACTGTTTCCAGAGGTCAGGGACAAATGATGGGTCAGGAAGTTCAAGACAGGCACACGTTAATAGGTGGCCTAATTGTCAGGCACCTGTGACATCACCTTGATACTGAAGCAACTCTCTGGCCTGGATGGCGGCATGAGATGTTAGTCTAAACCGGGGTCAGGAAAACACTCGGCTGGAGAGTAGGACCAAGTGAAGGCTGCTGGGAATGGACACAGACATCATCTACTAGAGGGGGCCACTTTATCATTTCACTTGTAAATGTAACTCTTGCCTGTCATTTAATGACTATCATGTGCACACATGCCTTCTTGTTTACCCACTAGTGATCCATAGCAAATCTGCTGCCTACTCTCCTAAGACTTGTTGATATACCTCCCTAGCATTTCTCTCCAGAGAGAAGTTTTAATGGTGCACCTCTGCACAGGTGTGCCTCCAGTGACTTCATTTGACCTTTTGATGAGTAGCCAGAAACAATGATGATTCATGCCTATGTTCCCTTTCTTTCAATATTCAACATATTGGAATATGAATCTACTCTTCTGCATGGTCCTTCAAAGTTCATATTTTTTTCTTAATAAAACATTTTATGTACATTATAGTTGATGTTATTGAAACATCAACAAACAAAGCAAATATTTTGCCAAAGACGTTCTATAGAGCTCATTCCCTCTGCTTCCATACCTCCAAGAATAAAGCTTTTTATCTTCAGGAAGATGGTTTCTCTGCTCAGTGTTTGACCAGAAAATGACCAAACCGAGATGGAAGCTCCAAATGGGAGGAGTCTTTGCATTGTGTCTCTGCCAGAGGTAGGTCTACCATCACTCAGAAGAAGGACTGGTTTGGGCCCTAACTTAGAATTGACATAGTTAAGTTATTCTAATTAAGGCTAAACATGGGGTTACAATCAAATAATGGGTCACAGACTTGAGGCAGAAGGATGTATAGTAGGAACAGATCTAGAGAAGAAGCCAAAACTCTTGGGTAAAAACACTAATATGATTGCATAGTTACATGTTATAGGAGAGATTGTGTTCTCTGACCCCCTGTATTCAAATATTGAACTCCTAACCTCTAGTACCTAAGAATGTTACTTTATTTGCAAACGGAGTTGTTATAATTAATTAAGATGAGGTCATGCTGGAGTAGAGTGTGCCTCTAATCCGTTATGACTGGTATCTTTATAAAAAGGGGGCATTTGGACACACACACACGCGCGCACACACACACACACACACACACACACACACACGGGAGAATGCCATGTGAAGACTGGAGTTATGCTGTCATAAACTAAGGAACATCAAGAGCTACCAGAAGCTGGAAGACACAAGGAAGAATCCTTTCCCTACAGGCTTCATAGGGAATATGGCCCTGTCAACACCTTGTTCTGGGACATCTAGCCTCCAGAGTTATGAGACAATACATATCTATTGTTTAAGCCACTCAGTAGTACTTTGTTATGGCAGCCCTAGCAAACTACTACTTTATGCAAAGGCTGCTAACTCTTGGATAATGCCTGCTATAGCATTAATCAAGCGTCACATTTGTTATGTGATGGACAAAGACTGTGGATGGTGGATCCATGACTTGCCCTTGGAAACTCATTGTCAGAGCAGCTGTCCACAACTGTTCAAAGGTTCATTAGTCATGCAAAGGCACATGGAATGCAGTGGATGCTGCTAGTACCATGGCCAGGTTTTCTTTACTAGACTGAGGACGTATTCCCTGGCTGCTGTGTATATTGTCTGCTTTTCCTGAGGATTGCTGTCAGTCAAATAGAAGCCCCTTTACTATGTCTTTCCCTTCCCATTTTAGTGTGAAGCCATAAAGGAGTCTAACTCTGTGGTACCATTTGTGCTCCAGAGTTTCCCATGGGACCAGGCTGAGGCTAGACTCCAGCTGAGGCCACATCCTCGCTCAGCTCCTCCTCATTCCCTCCCCTGTTTCCCTCACTCCCCTTTTGAGAACTCATGCCCAATAAATACCTGCCTCAGACTGCGCTACCGGGGTACTTGACTTTAGACCTTATGCTTCTCCTTCCTCAATAAATTACAAAGAGTGGGCCATTGCATTTAATAGAGAAGACTGGGGGAAAGGGAGAAGTGGCTCAGGGTGGGGCCATGGCTACATGAGGCCAGGTGCTAAGGTGTGGAACCTTTGGGGTGGTAGAGTTGAATGTACATTAGCACTCTTTCATCAGCTGCCCTTACAGTGTCATCATCCAACAATCATGTCTGTCTCTGTGGTCATTAAGGGAGTACTGACGTTGTTCCCATGATGATCTTCTCATTGATTCCATCCCAACCTTTTCAAACTAGAGCCAGGTGGGCGAGAAGACTTGTGAAAGACGTCCTTTCCCAATCAGGTGATTGATGGGAGCTAGTCTGGCCAGGGTTTGCTCCTCCAGTGGTGGCCTTGCCTGACCTGTGTTTTTGACATTGGCATTTGCCAGCAAGCTGAGACCCACTCCACTTGACAAAGGAACCCTAGTGACCGGTTTACCTCAAGTGAACCCTCAGCAAGAAAGGGCAGAGAAGGCAAGGCTGGGTGACTCAGACACCCTGGGTGCATCAGTTAAAAGAGAAATAGAGCCTTGGAGATAACAAAAGCAGTAAGAGATCTTAATGACTGAAGTTAAAAGAATAAGACCTGAGAAAGAAAGCCTAGGCAAGAACGATCTGGAATATGGGTTTCTTGGGCACTTTTTTTTTTTCAGAGATTCATTTTCACCATGTAACTTGCCAATCTACAATTAAACAATCCTGACTGAGTGAGAGTTCATTTATATTTAATTTATGTTAAGTATATTATATAGTTCATTTGTGTTTAACTTTTTTTTTTTATTTTGAGACAGAATCTTACTCTGTCACCCAGGCTGGAGTCAGTGGTGCGATCTTGGCTCACTGCAACCTCCTCCTCCTGGGTTCAAGAGATTCTCCTGCCTCAGCCTCCCAAGTAGCTGGGACTGCAGGTGTGCACCACCATGCCTGGCTAATTTTTGTATTTTTAGTAGGGACGGGGTTTCACCATATTGGCCAGGCTGGTCTCGAACTCCTTACTTCATGATCTGCCCACCTCACCCTCCCAAAGTGCTGGGATTACAGGCGTGAGCCACCATGCCCGGCCCCTGTATTTAACTTTTATATGAGTAACAGGAGAACATAGCTCAGACTTCTGAGTTCAAAAATATTAATATTGTGAAAAGTTAGTGTCACTTTTGCCCTGTCCCCCATCAGTCAGTGCCTCTCGTTAGATGGCAGCTTTCTTAGAGTTTCATGAGTATCCTTCCAGTGATATATATTTCATGCATTTATGAATACATGTGTGTATGAACGTTTATAACCACTCAAATGATAGATATGTTCCTGTCCAGCATCTTGCTTTTTCACTTAACCTTATACCTTAAAGATTGTTCCACATTAGTAATTGAGGCCTCCCTATTGTTTTTCACAGTTGAATATGATTCCACAGTACAGATGTGTCAGATTTAGTTCAGCCAGGCCCTATGAGTGGACTGTTAGGCTGTCTTCAATTTTTGCCTGCAATGAGTATCCTTGCTGTTATATTGTTTGACATATGTGTGAGAATACCTATGAGCTGTTGGCCTAGACTTGGGATTGTTAGGTCAAAATATATGTGCACTTGAACTTTGACGTGTAATGCCACACTACCTTCCACAAAGGTGGTGCTGACTTAAAGTGCCACCTGCATTTTATGTGAATGCTCGTTTAGCTACCCAGGGGTGAACAAATGAAGGCTGCCTATTTTTGTAAATGAAATTTTGTTGGTGCACAGTCAGGTCCATTTGTTTATACTGCCTATGGCAGCTTTCAAACAGCAGAGTTGAGTAGATGCAACAGAGAGCATGTGCCCCCACCAAAGTAAAAAATATTTACTATCTGGTGTTTTACAGAAAAAGTTTTCTCTTATTCACAATAGCGAAGATATGGAAGCAATGGAAGTGTCCATTGACAGATGATTGGATAAAGAAACTGCGGTATGTCCTGTGACATGCAACTTACATATGTAACAGACTTACACATGCACCCTTGAAACCAAAATACAAGTTAAGAAAAAGTAGAAAGTAAATCCACAGAAATTAGAAATGATAAGATGCAAATAGTCATCAAAACAGAGGAACTTAAAGGAATAGGAAACTACTTTGCTCAATTCTCTATAAACAAATTGAAAAGCTAAAAAATGAATAAGTTATTAGAAAAATACAATTTACAAACACTGGCCCCAGTAAATATACACACAATTGCCATCAGATTTTTATTTTACATTTTAAAAGCATTTGCCATCCAATTGCCATCAGATTTTTATTTTACATTTTAAAAGCATTTGCCATCCAATTGCCATCAGATTTTTATTTTACATTTTAAAAGCATTTGCCATCCAATTGCCATCAGATTTTTATTTTACATTTTAAAAGAATTTGCCAACAGAAAGCACCAGGTTCAGATATTTTCACAGGAGAATGTTACCAAATCTTAAGCCATCAAATATTATTTTACCTTTTCAGAGCACAGTTTTACAAAAAGGAAAATTCCAAATTCATTTCCTGAAACATTTCCAAATAACATTGACTCCTAAATCACAAAACTACATTTAAAAAAGGAAAATTATGTTTATCACAGCACTGTTCACAATAGCAAAGTCATGGAATCAACCTAAGTGTCTATCAATAGGGGATCAGATAAAGAAAATGTGGTACATACACAACATGGAATACTATGTATCTGTAGAAAAGAATGAAATCATGTCTTTTGCAGCAACATGGATGGAGCTGGAGGTAATTATTCTAAGTGAATTACTGTAGAAATGGAAAATCAAATACCATATGTTCTCACTTGTAAATGGGAGCAAAAAGATGCATACATGTAGACACGAATGGAAACAATACACACTGGGAACTCCAAAATAGGGGAGGGAGAGAGGTGAGTGTGGGTTGAAAACCTACCTATTAGGTAGTATGTTCAGTATTTGGGTGATGGGTTCTCTGGAAACCCAAACCCCAGCATCACCCAATGTACACATGTAACAAACCTGCACATGTACCCCCGATTCTGAAATAAAATTTTAAAAAAGCTGTGGTGTATACCTACAATGGAATATTATTCAGCATTTAAAAAGAAGGACATCCTGCCATTTTCACAATAAGGATGAACCTGCAAGATACTATGCTAAGTATCTTGCTAAATAAGCTAGACACAGAAAGAAAAATACCACATGATCTCACTCATGTGCGGGATCTGAACAAAAAAAGGACAAATATATAGAGATGGAGAAGAAAAGAGTGGTCACCCAGGGTTGTGGGGCTGGAGGAGTGAAAATGGGGAGATGGATGTCAAAGGAGACAAACAGGTATGTGACATCAACAAGTCTAAAGATCTGATGAACAACATGAGAACTACAGTTTATAAAATTATATTGGGTTCTTTTGTTAAGTAGATTTTAACTGCTCTTGTCACAAAGAAAAGTAACTGTGAGATGATAAAGATATATTAATTTACTTTACTATAGAAACCATTTTACTAAGGATATGTATCCCATAACATGTTGTAAACCGCAAATAAACACAATAACATTTATGTAAAAAAAAACTTTGGTGACCCCTGATACGTACTCTATCAACACAATGATATCAGACTTTTTGATCCTTGCCGATATGAGGGAAGAAAATAGGTGTTTCATTTTTTATGAATGAGGTTGAAATTTTTTTTGTATTTTCTTTTTGCACACCTTGTATTTGTATTTTTTTACCTCTTATTTTTTTCTTGAGGAAATCAGCTCTTTTTCAGTGTCATGAGTAGGAAATATGTCCTCCTATTTGTTGCTTTTCTTTTTACTTTGATCATGAAGTTTGTTTTTAGCATGCAGAAATGTTTTTTACGTGATTAAATACATCAATCTATTGTGAGTTCAGATTTTCTGACATATTTATAAAAATCTTACCTATTTTTTTTTATTTTTTACCTTTTAATGTTTATACACTGGATCCATTTGGAATTTTATTGTAAAATGTGATGCAGTGATGAAGTCTTATTCTTTCTCCAGAAGGCTAGTTTGTTTTATGAAGTCCCCTTTTACTGAAGAGACCATATTGGAAAAACTAATTAGAAACATCATCTTTATCATGAACTAAATTCTACTTTTATTTGGCTCTGTTTCTGAGTGTTTATTTTGTTCACTTGATCCTCACTCTTTTAATGATTCTAGCTTTACACTATGTTTTAATTTCTGAGGGCTAGTTTCCCCTCAGCACTTTTTTTTTAGAATAAAATTTTCTGGCTATTTTTGCTTTATAAAATTTTTTCATATGGTGATTTGAACTAGGTTATATCCTTTAAAAACAAGCTTTGGTATTTCCTCTCTTTCTCAAACCCCTGCCTCTGTCATGAGAACAAACTCAAACCTATGTTGCCTTCTGGATGATGAGAGACCAAGTGGAGCAGAGAGGAGAGGAGTCATCCCAGCTGAGACCTTTCCAGACCAGCTAGCCTGCAGCTGACTTTCCAGCTAAGACAGGAGTAAATCCACTGGATAATAAATAGTCCTGGCCCAGGTTAGCAGAATTGCTCAGACAACCTATAGGGCAGTGAAAAAAAAATGCTTATTGTCATATGCCTTTGAGTGGTGGGTGCATTATTGTGGCAATAAATAACTGATAAAAGAATAAATGAGATTACATAGGGAGACTGCACATGCAGAGAAAAAAAAAATGGCCTGAGCTGGAAGCCAAGGGTACACTAATATGGAAAGGCCCAGTGGAAGAACTCAGATGTGGTCTTACTTTCAATTTTTCTCTTACTTTTTTTTTTTTTTTTTTTTTTAACTGAAGAAATAAAAAATACTTTTTAAAAAATTATACTTTAAGTTCTAGGGTACATGTGCACAACCTGCAGGTTTGTTACATATGTATACACGGCCATGTTGGTGTGCTGCACCTATTAACTCATCATATACATTAGGTATATCTCCTAATGCTATCCCTCTCCCCTCCCCTGACCCCACGACAGGCCCCGGTGTGTGATGTTCCCCGCCCTGTGCCCAAGTGTTCTCATTGTTCAATTCCCACCGATGAGTGAGAACATGCGGTGTTTGGTTTTCTGTCCTTGCCATAGTTTGCTCAGAATGATGGTTTCCAGCTTCATCCATGTCCCTACAAAGGACATGAACTCTTACTTCTTAATAATACCGATATGACGATGTCTTACTTAGAACAAGTAACATTCAACGGATATCAGCAGTGGGCTGTACAAATAACTCCAGAGAGTGACAGACAAAATTCTTTCATTCAATTATTCATAAACTTTTAATAAGTGTTTCTGCATGCCTGGCATGGTTAACTTTTCAAAAATGAAAATGATATGGTTGAAGTAACCGAAGAGCTCGCAATCCAGTGGTGCAGTCATACAAGATGTGAAAAGTGTGTTAACAGAGGTTAACTAGGGCCCTGTCGTCCTTAGCTCTGATTGGAAGAGTCTGGAGAGTATTCCAGTCTCGGAGTTTCAGAGTTGCATTCAAATGAAGCAAAAGTAAAATCAAGCACATAAAGAAAATATACATTGAGTTCTGACAAAAAGTCAGAAAACCGCACTGTGGCTAAGACTGACCACAGCCCATTGTTGATCAAGACCATTTGCTTTCTATTTCTCAGCCGTCTTTGTAGTTTTGTGAGACCCTTTGACTGAATTTTAGCCAATGGAATGAGCAGGTCCACCAAAACCTCCTCCGTGTCATCCTCTTGGACTCTTTTGCCTTCTTCTGAATGCAGTGGAGTCCTCTGATGTTGGAAGCCACATGTTGAAGATGGCAGAGCAATATTATAGAAGTAGCTGGGTCCCTGGTTGCCCAGAACCCAGCATGTCTTAGAAGCATGCGGCCTGCTTGTCATTTTGCACTTCACATGAGCGAGAAATAAACTTCTGTCATGTTTGAGCCATAGTGCATTTATTCATTGTGACATACAATGCTAACTTAACTAATATACTGATGGAAGAAAATTGTACTAAAATCTGCCATGCTGGCTGGCATTGCTGGAAGATGCTTTTGTTACAGATATTGTGTTAGGCGACATACTTTGACTCCCCTAAATTCAAACCAGGTAACAACAACCCATGCTATTTAAGTAAACTACAACATACACAAAGTAGATGCAGAGATGTTCTAGAAGCAGATGGGTTGCTCTGGGTAAACTTAGTTTGGAAAGCTCCTTAGAAAATGTGAATCATCAGCAACAGAAATTACCAGCAGGGTAAACAGACAGCCTACAGAATGGGAGAACATGTTCTCAAACCATGCATCTGACAAAGGTCTAATACTCAGAATCTATAAGGAACTTAAGAAGCCAAAAAAATTAAAAAAGGGGAAAGTACATGAAATGACACTCCTCAAAGAATATATACAAGTGGCCAACAAAGATGAAAAAATGCTTACTTCACTAATTACTAAAGAAATGCAAATGAAAACCACAGTGAGATGTCATCTCATACCAATCAGAGTGGATATTATTACAAAGTCAAAAAAAAGCAGATGTTGGGGAGGCTGTGGAGAAAAGGGAACACTTATATACTATTGGTGGGAATGCAAAATAGTCCAGGCACTGTGAAAATCAGTTTGGAGATTTCTCAAAGAACTTAAAATATAACCACTATTTGTTCCAGCAATCCCACTACTGGATATCTATCCAAGGGAAAATAATTAGCTCTACTGAAAAAACACATGCACCTGTATGTTCATTGAAACTCTAATCACAATAGCAAATACATGAATCAACCTAGGTGCCCATCAACAGTGGGTTGGATAAAGAAAATGTGGTGCATCTGTAGCATGGAATACCATGCAGCCATTAAAAAGGCTGAAATCACATCCTTTGCAGCAATATGGATGTAGCTGGAGGCCACTATCCTAAGCAACCTAATGCAAGAACAGGAAACCAAATACCACATTTTCTCACTTATAAGTGGAGCTAAACATTGTGTACACATGCATGTAAAGATAGGAACCATAGACACTGGGCACTGGGGACTACCAGATGGGGAAGGTGGTAGGTGGTTGAGGGCTGAAAAACTACTCATTGGATACTATATTCACTACCTGGGTGTTGGGATCATTTGTAACCCAAACCTCAAAGACATGCGGTTTACTCATGTAACAAACCTGCACATACACCCATTGAACCTAAAATACAAGTTGAAAAAAGAAGAAAAAGGAAAAACACTGAAGAGTTTTACAATAAAGGTAAAACAGTGCCACTCTTCTCACAGATTTTAAGAAAATGTTCATTTTTTTATGAACCATATGTTCATGTTAGCATATAATGGGCTTATTTTTGTTAAAAAAAAGGGAAAATAAGAATCATAAGCAGCATATTGAAGAGGGAAGGGACTATTACACTAAGAAGGAAGAAAGGGCATTTGCAGAGGGTGGAGTTTTGATGTTGTTTTTGACGTCAAAGATCCAATGACCTTTGATGATTATCTGTGGAATAACCTAGATTATTGATAAAGCTATACAGAAAAGGTACTCTAGGAGACCACCCTTGCTGCTTGCATCACATCCCTTTAGCTTGCCTTGAATTTTAGCTGCAGCTGTGGCAGGCCCTTCCTGCAGCTGTCAGTGTTCTCCTTCAAGGTGTGTAGCTGATTACTGTCCCAGTACCTTCTCCCACACCTGGCAGCTCCAAGCGAAGCCCCAGCATGTGGAGTTAGTGCCCTTGGGGTCAAACCTTAGCCAAAGGGGAGGGTGGCAGGAGGATTAATGCCCCGGCTTTCCATCTCTTAGGTAAACAATCCTTGGAAGCATTTGGAATGCTTCTTCGGAGGTCCTAGTGGCATCATTTCCCTTACCTATAGCAGTAACTTCAACAATGCCTCCTTTATCAGCATTCCTTCCTTCCTTTTTCGTTTTCTCCACTTCCTCTATTCTAGTTCCTGGGATCACTTCCCATGTAAACTAACTGAACTGAAGTCTTTGTCTCAAGGTCTGCCTTCAAGTGAAGCCAAACTAGGGTACTATGAGTAAGAATTTCTGCAAATCCTTTTTACTTCCTGAACAATAAGTCCAATTACAATTTTTGTCTTTGGAACATTACGTTTATTTTGTTAGAGGCGCAGCCTGGATTCTGTTCCTAATGCCAGCCTTTGTCTTGCTTGGAAGTCTAAGATCTTATGACATTATGTCTAATCATTGTAGACTAAATATTATTTGACACTTAACACACATATATATTATTTGTGCCAATTTTAAGCAAAGATTTACCGAGCACCTTCTCAATACCAGGTGCTGTGCTTGGCACTGGGATTCAATTTTATTCATTCAGCTTTATGACAATACTCCATTAATTGTGCTGTTCTAGAGCTGGGCATATTCTTTGCAAGAAAGCATATTATGCTTCTAGGAAAGGTATATTCCTTTTTTTGAGCTGTCAACCCTTGCAAAATTATTTTATTCACTTAGATATTTAGTTTAACTTTTGCTATTGTTATAATTTTCTGTTTTTTAGTTCTGGATGTACTTTCCTTATTCTTTTCTGGACCTCACTCATAATGGACTTACTACTGATGCGGGATCTGCCTTGTCTTTCTTAAAGCTAGAAAACTGTCTCGCACATGTTAAGTGCTCAAATTTTTGTTTAATGGGGCTGGCTTATAAATGAGTCCATGATGATTTCTTAAGAATCAAATCTCTTTGGATGGAGTGCATGATATCTAAATTCTTATCTACAACAAAGAAGCTGAAATAAAGTTCTGGAAAGCCAGCGGACTAGTCCCCAGTTTTTCTTTATTTTCTGACAACAGAAAAGCTTCAACAGATTGCAATTGACAAAAACATGGCAGAGGTCTTTGATATTTTTTTATTATGTTTTTCTTCTTTCTAGTGAATTTCCCAGGAGTCAACTGCCTCCTCTCCTGGCTTTCAGTGTCTTAGGATGCCACCCTGATCTGCTGTTGCTAAGAGTAACTCGTGCTGCCTTGTCTCCTCTCTAGTAACACACAGCACATGCATGTTCTGTTCTGCTCTGGCTCTGCTCTGCTGCGTTTATTTTTCACCAAGCCTTGTTTTACTGATAAGCAAAGTGAGTGAAGAGAGATTCATGTCTTGCCCCAAGTCACCGAGCTAGTAGTCGATAGAGCTGGGATCCGAATTAAGGTAGTCTGGCTCCAGAGCACCTAACATTGTACTGTATCTACCACTGACTCTTTCTATGCTCTGAAAACCTTTCCCTTTTCAGTTACATTCCTTTTTTTCAGAGTATACTACCAGCTAAGTGCTGGCTCATTTGTCTGTAATCTATGTGGATACACATAGTGCTTTAACCTAGCACGCTGTCCCTAGTGGTAGGAATTTCTGGCACTATGGTGGAGTAGGATTAGACGTTTTAGGGAAAAATTGTCCTTTCATTGTCTTCAAGCTTGTTCTGTGCCAACTGCCCAGTTGAATTGAAGGTCTCGGATTTTAGGATTGACAAAGATACCCAAATCCTCCAATTGGCCTGCCACACACATTTATCAGTCATTAGCAGATCTTTAACTTATTTAGAAATCTAGCCAGATAAAGAGAGTCAGAAAATAAATTTCGTAGAAAGTTGAAAGTTCTTTTAGCTTTCACTGTGAACCTCTCTCTGCTGGTCATGTCTTTAAATACTTGAAGTTGTGTCTTTGTTCCATTCTTTGCCACTTCATGACATTTTGGGGCCACTGAGAAGCAGGTACCATTTCACAGATGTGGTGAGGGGTGGACATTAATAAGAAATACTATTTTTTTAACTACTTATTCATTGGCTGAATAAATACGTATTGAGTGCCATCTTGGTGGAAGACACTGGGCCATGTTCTGTGAGGGGATAGAGAGACGTAAGAAGATCTGTGCTCTCATATTTGTTGGGGTTTATTTTAGGGATTTTAACTGTATACATTCCTCCTTGAGATTCTGAACTAGTTGAGAAATAAATACAGAATTAAGTTTAGGATAAAATATATCAGTTTTGTTGCTGGCCAGGCTGTAACTACATGGCTCCATGTAGTTATTAACACAATCTAGCTCCCTAATTTTACTCATAGTCTTACTCAGTAGACACAAGTGGCAGACACTGAAGCCCTATCTCGGTGAGATTACTCTCCACTGGGAGCACACATAATGCAAGTAGGTTGGTCCCAGAAAGAGATCTCAGAAGGGATCACAAGTCTTTGAGTCTCATTGTTGAGATAGATGGTCACTCTGTTTCCCTTGGAAGAGGAGTGAGCGGGAGTAGAGGGAGTGAAGAAACTGTCTTCCCATTACCTCTCATGACTCCAAGTTCCTCTTTTATCAACCAAGGTAAAAATTGGGAGAAAATTTTTTTCCTAACATATCCATGAAAAGACAGTTAACTATATAAGCTAATATGTGATTATGCTCTGCAAACAGAATAAGGATGAAGCTTGTCCTTACATCGCAGCATCCCTCAGGGTTCTTGGTGTGTTCACAGTGATAGCAAACAAATTTGTAATTTTCTATACATTTTATTTTGCACTAACAACCTCTTTGTCTTGCTAGACTTTTCAATAAGTCAAAGATCTGCTAATTTCTAACAAATGTATCTGCCAAAGTGGATTTATTAGAGGAATGAGTTTCAACTGTGTTGCTCTTCTTTAAAGAGAGTTTTGTTAGTTTACTCTTTGGATGGTACTGAGTACTGTGTATCATATCAAATAAGAAGGGGGAGAATCAGAAAAAGAATTTTCAGAGACCTTAATGTGCAACTGTGAATTGTGGCTGTCTAAAGTTGGGTATAATGGGAAGCATTTATCAAGCGTATTTCTTTACAAAACTCTTCTAGAGAATTAAACAGGAAAATTAAACTAGGGGATTAAATTAATGTGCTGTGGAACACACTTCGGAAAATGGGTAAGGGATTCAGAGAAAGGCAATATTTATGAATATAAGAAAAGTCAACAAAGGCTTTAATTGTGAAATTTTACTGGGCATTAAAATGTGGGAGAATCTAGCAGAAAAGAAGGAAGTAGGCATGTCAGATAGAGAAACAATATTGGCTCAGAGTCACTGGAGGAGAAATGAAAGAATTAAATCTTTTTTAAAACAAAGGGGATAAATGTCACTGTACATGAGATTGGTATTTTGAAAAGTAGTAGTTTTGTTCATTATACAAGTAATTTTTGTGGAAATACACATAACATAATTTCAGCACCAAAAAAGCATTTAAAAATATGTTTGACAATTTATGGTTTTGCCATTTTGGCAATTTAAACAAATAGAGAAGAAAGGAGTAGGTGGAGTAAATGTGCATGCAGAGAAGATAGACTTCGATGAGCCATGCAGTCAAGTATTTGCCAGGATCTTTGCAGCCATGCCAGCCTGTGACCTCTGATGAATGGTGCTCATGTTCTGTAAGAGTGCCCCAAACAGTAGCTACTCCTCATATTTTTCTGCACAGTAAGGCTACCATTTCATTTCATGTTTCTCATTAAGCTGCCTTTGGCCCCACTTCTATTGGATTTTGTCATGTGTTTGCATCTCTCCTGATCTGGACATCACCTGAATCAGTTCAGCTTCGGATACTTAGGGGGGACTGCTCAGTTTTGTTAGCATTCCACCAACCGTTTTAAGAAAAAAACTAAAAACTCCTTGATGAAGGCACGGTGTGCTGACTAGTGTCTGTGGAATCAAGCACTCTCATCTGCTTTGGGATTTTAATTACCTAGGGGTGCTGGGTACATTCAAATGACCTCCCTCTTCCATGAGCTCATCCTGGCAGTACAAAGCAAGCCACCCAAGAAAGCCAATCGCAGATAATTGCCACGGGAACCTGAAGGCAACAAACCTGCTCCTGTGGGACTGGGCTTTGCATTGACTTAGCACTGGTCAGTGTTCCTTCATTGTGGACGCACCCAGCTCAAGTGGAGGTGAAGTCACCACTGCTCTGCTATGGACTTCACTGTTCTTTTGGTAGCTGAATATGCCCATAAAAATGATAATTTTTGGAGAAATGACTGGGCTCCCCAGATGTTTTTCAATATCTATGGTTAAGCATGATATAATTTCCACGCTGTAATGTGGCAGTGAATGCTGACCTTTTTTCTCTTTTCTTCAGAATTGTGAAAATTTCAGGTATGACATATCTTGTATTTTGTCTCTAGAATTTTCATATTTAGATTTAGATGACATTTATTGAATCTCTACTAGGTATCAAGCTAGATGTTTTGTGTTTCCTTTCTCATTTAATCTTCACAACTGTCAGAGGTGTTTGAACCAGAGCAGCTCCATCTTTAGCTGAGTAAAATGAGGCTGAGATCTGCTATGCTGGATTCCCAGGAAGTTAGGCATTCCTAGTCACAGGATGAGATAGGAAGTCAGCATAAGATACAGGTCATGAAGACCCTGCTGTTGCAACAGGATGCAATAAAGAAGCCAGCCAAAACCTGCCAACACCAAGATGGTGACGAAAGTCACCTCTGGTCCTCCCCACTGCTCATTACATTTTTACAATGCATTAGCATGCTAACAGATATTCCCACTGGTGGCATGACAGTTTACAAATGCTATGGCAATGTCTGGAAGTTACCCTATATAGTCTCAAAGTGGGAGGAACCCTCAGTTCTGGGAGTTCCCCACACCTTTACCAGAAAACTCATGAATAATCCACCCCTTGTTTAGCATGTAATCAAGAAATAACAATAAAAATAGGTAACAGCAGCCCTCGGGGCTGTTCTGTCTATGGAGTAGCCATTCTTTTATTCCTTTACTTTTGTGATAAACTTGCTTTCACTTTACTCTGTCGACTTGCCCCAAATTCTTTCTTGCCCAGATTCAAGAACCCTCCCTTGGGGTCTGGATCGGGACCCCTTTCCAGTAACTCAACAGCCTTGTGACATGATATTGTTTCTATTTTGTTGATGAAAATCAGACAAAGAAAGGTTCAGTAACTTGCCCAATGCCAAACAGCCTGTGGTGGTGTGAGGCACTAAAGACCTCCACATGACCTGTGAATGAGGCCACTGCCAGAGGCTAGCAATAGCCCTTTCAAAGTTTTCTAACTTTCCTTTTTAGATTAAAAAAAGTCAACTCTTTTTTGGTGGTTTTTGTTAACAAGGTCATGATGGAGTTACTAGCATAAATACTAAATACATTTTTAGGGGGATGCTCAGGTTCAAGACATCCCAACAAGAACTTCCTGCAATCACGTGGTGAGATGTTTTTTTGCTAACCAGCATCATGGCATCCTTGGAACTTCGTGGGGATTACTAAGTGATGAAGCCGGTCTGCCTGCCCCTCCCTTGTCCCCTCAGACATTTACATGGGCTCCCCCTGATAACTGATTCAAACCTGAACTCTCCCATGCAGAGTTTAAGATCCTTCAAATCTTTGCCTCACTTTTCCTTCAACTCTGTGTCTGGTCCCTGCTGTGTCCAAGGGAGAACTTTCTGCTTGACCCTCTGAAGGTTCACTGAAAAAATCACTGATGTGGCCAGGGATGGCGGCTCATGCTTGTAATCCCAAGGCTTTGGGAGGCTGAAGAGGGTGTATCCTGAGGTCAGGAGTTAGAGACCAGCCTGGCCAACATGGTGAAACCCCGTCTCTACTAAAAATAAAAAAATTAGCCAGACGTGGTGGCGCATGTCTGTAATCCCAGCTACTCAGGAGGCTGAGGCAGGAGAATCGCTTGAATCCAGAGGCTGCAGTGAGCTGAGATCACACAACTGCACTCCAGCCCAGGAAACAGAGCGAGACTCCGTCTCAGAAAAAAAAAAAAATCACTGACGTGAGGCAGATTGATTAATAAAAGACATACTAATTTTTTGAATGTGTATACACAGGAGCCTTCAGAATGAAGACCCAACCTCCCAATAAAGTATAGAGTCTTATCTACCACCTTGAGGTTATAGAAAGAATGTGGGCTCAGAACGTGGCCCAAAACATGTTTTAGTGGCAAGGCAGGTTAAGGAAAGTGACGTGGTTTGACTGTATCCCCACCCAAATCTCATCTTGAACTGTAGTTCCCAAATCCTCCTGTTTTATGGGAGGGACCCGGTGGGAGGTAATTGAATCATGGTGGTGGTTACCCCCATGCTGCTGTTCTCGTGATAGTGAATGAATTCTCATGAGATCTGATGGTTTTATAAGGGGCTTTTTCCCCTTTTGCTCAGCACTTCTCCTTACTGCTGCCATGTGAAGAAGGACATGTTTGCTTTGCCTTCTGCCATGATTGTAAGTTTCCTGAGGCCTCCTCAGCCCTGTGGAACTGTGAGTCAATTAAACCTCTTTCCTTTATAAATTACTCAGTCTCAGATATGTCTTTATTAGCAACATGAGAATGAACTAATACAGGAAGGAAAAAGAGAGAGGCTTGACTAGCAAAGGTGGTCTTGTTATATAGATGAAGCCTTACAGGTAGAATTCCTTAGAGAGAATAGATGGAAAACTCTTCAGACTTAAAGGTGTCAGACTCTCAATCACTCCTAAATCTGGGAAAGTCCTAGAAAGAGAAGGCCTGGCTGCACTAATGAGGATTCTCTATGAATACAAATTTTCCCCACCTCAGTCTACTGGCCCTGCAGCAGCCATTTCAAAATATGTCAAGGAAATATATTTTGGGGTGAAATATTTTGATTTCCTTCACTGCCCAATGGTTGCCCTCTATTCTGAACAGGTAGAATCCTTACTTCCTCTGCAACCCCCCTCCACAATGTCCGCTTTGACTCTCTTTATCCTCCTCATCCTTCCAGGCCCGACCTAAGTCCTGTTTGGTCTGGTAAGCCATCCTGAGAGATTCTCCTTTCTCGGATACTTAGTTTTCAAATGGCCCTGGAGTTTGAGGTTTCTGGGGAGTGTGTCTTAGAGGACGGGGAGACAGTGGGAGCAGAGTCCTTGCTTCTCACTCCAGCCGACACTAGAGCAGCCATAGTTTTTCTGTTTGATGCATAGGAACTCTGCTTCAGAAAAGCTCCCCATTTCTCATTTTGATGTTGTGTAAGCACCAGGGGGTGGTGGTGTCAGTAGGGCTCCTGAACATCAGGTTTTGGATAGAGGTGTTGGCTCAGGCCAGAAACATGCCACAGGTGACTGATCTATAAAAATCAGAATGCTAATTCATTAATTTAGCTTGGGAAATATAACACCAAGAGGAATGGAATGCCTTAGTCAGCCTGGCTAGGGCACTTGTTCCCTGAAAGCAAGCTAACTATCTGGGAAGTCAAATGATCTCCTGGGTATTTGTTGGAGACCACAGAAACAGAACCAGGTGTCATTTAGACTTAGCAATGTTTCTGAGCCAACGTAAATCCACACACTCTAAACTAGTGGTCCTCAAATCTTAGTTTAGATCACAATCATGTTGATTTGGGTCCCACTCCCAGAGTGCAACATGTGTGTGTGGGGTGTGTGTATGTGTTTGAGAAGGATAAGAATGAGCATTTATAAGAAGTTCCCAGACGATGCTGTTGCTGTTGGTCTGGGGTCACACTTTGAGAAGCATTGCTCTCTTTCATTATAGGGAAACATAGTGCTTGTATGTACAAAGCCAATATCATCCCCTCTCCTCTGGGTATTCCTGATGGACCTTGTCAACTTTGAACTATTTTTTCACGTGATCTAAGATTTACTAGCTTGTAATTCCATTACCTTTCTTCAAACCTCTACATTGAGTCAATATAATGGATTATTTTCTCTTGACCACGTTACAATTGCACCTTAGACCTGCATCTCTGAAATTACTTCCAGTCCACCTATCTGCCTCAGAAGAGTGTTGGGTGTTCTCTAACTCCTTTGTTGCACACTTATACATTATCTTTTTTTCTCTCTCCCACTCCTTCCACATACACACACACACCCTGAGGGCTAAATCTTGCAGTATGCATATTTTACTAATTTTTGTGGGAAGCCATATTTCTTTTGGAGGAGAGATGTCCAGGTTTATTTTCCTTCATGTTTCTTTAATTCCATTTTCCCACCACAGCCAGTAGCCAGTAAATGTGAACAATGATGCTCTTTTTCTGCCTATTTTTGTCATGAGGTAATAAAGTGGAAGACACTTGGTAGTAATTTACCACCGATAGTGATTTCCTGCCTAAAAATTCAACAAGAGCGTGAGTCACAGTGTCATGGACATATGAAAATAAGCTGTGACCCATATCTTGAGAGTAATTGGACCCAGGCTAATGAGGACCAAGTGGTTGTTGTACACAGCCTAAATGCAGTCATTGATGCTTTCTGCTTTGCTTCTATTATCTTTTAAGGCTTCCTGGATTGCTGACTCAGCTCCCCAGGGAATCCAGGCAGAATTTAACTATGGGATCCATTATGGGAATGTTGGACTTGGGGGACTGGCGTAGATACAGCTGGTGACTATATTTTAAGATGAGATCAAATACTCAAAATATTAGAGAAGAATTTTTATTTTTCAGTTTAATTGTTTTAAATGGTTTCCTCGAGCCCAGGCTAAAATTTTATCATATACTTACTTGGCATGTGGTTTTGGGTGACATTATAAGATCTCCAGTGTCAGTAAATATGATAAGGCAGGTAACTAGGACCCTAGGATCCTCTATTTCTCACTGGATGACCTTAGTTTAATGGGCATGGTATAGTAGATTGGGAGTGGAGATTTGTAGGCATTGTAGCAACCTTTTAGTTAAGATGTTCTGTGCAAATTTGTGTTTGTTCCAAGCCCAGACAACTAATTAGCTATGATTATTTTATCATTTTCTTGTGTTGTGAGAAGCCAAGAGGCTCTTCCTCTTTCTTCTTGTTTCTAATACACTGGGTAGTCACTTCCTTCTTAATTCTTGCTCCCATCTCTTCTATCCTCACTCCTGTTTCCTGCCAGTCTTTGTGTTTTTCTACTCTCATTGCTCCTAAAGTGATCTGCCTGTCATATGGCACAGAAGACAATTAAGTGAAGCCAGCTTGGTGGGTGACAGGTGGATACTAGAAAATCAATCAAGTTGGGGTGGATTTGTACTGTGTCAACTTGGCATGACTGAAATTGCATTCCTCAGAATTTCCTTCCTTGCATGGTTCTGAGTTAAAATGAGACACAAGAGACATTTTGTGAAAGATTTGGAAGGCAAAAGTGAAGCAACAGCCAAATTATTTTTATCCTTGGGAGGTCTATGGATGGCACCTGGAGCAGTTGCCACTCATGCATGCCATCATTTATCCACAGGCTCGTCCTCATGGCTGGTCCTGTAGCTCCTATGGCTCCTGTGGATCCTCCCTCAGCTGCCCCACCTCCTGGACCCGGTGAGAGTCCAGTTCCATAATGAGTGAAGTCCGGCAGGACACACTGTCATCGAAGGTGGAGGTTTGAAAGAGATGAGAGAGTAATATGGGTTTGATCTATCTCTGAGGATTCTAGCCCATCCTTGCTGGTTCCAGTTTGTCTTTGCTCTCCCCACTCCACATCCATGCTTTCTTTCTGATTGCTGACCCTGCTGACTTTAGATGTTAGCAACAGGTGCAGAAAGTATAGGCTTGTATAGGCTGTTTAACTAGCTCCCACCATTGTGTAAATCAAATCTCTGTAATATATCCCTTATTAGCTATCTCCTGGTGGTTCAGCTTCCTTTATCAAAGAATCATGTGTAGGATCTCCGGTTGGAATCAATCCACGGGGAATTCAGCCACTGGATTTTGAGATTGTCAAGCACCCAATGGCTATTGTGGGAGCTAATTTGGGATGTCCAAGTATCTGAATCTGAATGAGAAACTAGACATTAGTGACAGATTCCACTGACAGGCATTCTTTGCAAATCAATCCTGGGAGGACAGTTCCTAGGTCCTGCTAAGCCACTCTGCAAATTGGCTTTAAGACTCAGGACATTTTAACAATGGAGGAATAGGCCGGGCGTGGTGGCTCACACCTGTAATCCCAGCACTTTGGGAGGCCGAGGCAGGCGGATCACGAGGTCAGGAGACTGAGACCATCCTGGCTAATGCGGTGAAACCCCGTCTCTACTAAAAATACAAAAAATTAGCTGGGCGAGGTGGCGCATGCCTGTAGTCCCAGCTACTCGGGAGGCTGAGGCAGAACGGCGTGAACCCGGGAGGCGGAGCTTGCAGTGAGCCGAGATCGCGCCACTGCACTCCAATCTGGGCGACAGAGTGAGACTCCATCTAAAAAAAAAAAAGAATGAAGGAATAAAATTTCTTCAATGGATTGCATCTTAGGTCTGGAAACTTCAATAAGGTAGATGCTATTTGTGAAGCTGTTTTTTGTTTTTCTTTTGAGCCCCTTTCCTCCCTTCCCCATTTTTCAGTTTTGTTAATGTAAAAGAATAGACAGGAAGAGAAAAATAAGTTACTTTTGCTGTTGCGTTTCTCCCTCCCCTCTCTCTCTCTCCCCCTCCACATTACTCATCAATTCACAGTCCCAAAGCATAGGCCTGCAACCATTAAATGTGGATATTGCTTCAGTGTTAGGAAAGCTGTCAATGTTGGAGAAAGAATGCAACTGTTAATGTTTGTGTAATTCCATCTTGCACTTGGGCGGTTGCTTGGTACAATAATATTTCTGACTTCTCTTTGATCCTCCTCTCTCTACCTAGTCTCATACTTATGGCTTTTTCTAAAGAGGTAACTAGATAAAGAAAATTGTATTTTAAAGCCAATTCTTCCTTCCATCCTTCCCTGACCTCCTGAGTTTCATGTTTTGGGAGAAAAGCATTTTTTGAGCCATGGTTTAAGATTAAATTATATGCCCTCAATTCACCTTTATAATTCAGAAAAGCCCAATACAAAAAGATCCCCAGAATTCTTCTATTCTAAGGGGGAAATTTGACTCTTAAGCTTATTTGTAAGTTTAGGTTACGAAAAGCCACTTCAAAGCATTGGAAATGGCACGAACTGACAAGGTTGAAACATATAGTTATATGGTTCTGCTTCATTGCCTTATTTCTTTCCTCAGAGCTATTGTAGACAAAACCAAGCAGAAGGTATAGTGTTTCTGATACTCTCTGCTTCTGGACCCCGCTTTAGGCAGATGACCCTATTACCTCAGCCATTATCACATCTTTTTGTAGGGCTCAGTTAATAATAAATAAAAAACCCAGCAAATGTCTAGCATTTTAGAATTTACAGGGTGCCTTTAAATGTATCATCTCATTTAACTCTTACAAAACTTTATGGGGATGGTATTATTAATCCTATTATGCCAATAAAGTAAGTACTAAAATAGGAAACATTGACCACCATATTTCTGGGCAGCGGGGTGGGGAGGAGTGGAAGGGGTTTGAATGTGAGGGTTTAAGCTTTAACAAGAGTACTTCAGGTTTCACCTGAATGTTTGGGGAAATATCTTTCTGTAGATTCAGGTCCTTTTCTCTATCACCAAAATAAATTCCATAAGATAAATAACAGCGCCACTTGTGACAAGATATCTTCTGCCTTCTTTCCTTAATTTTTCAGCTACACAAAGAGTCTCAATGGTAGAAGTAGGAGATTCACCAGCCCTGAGTTTGTGATAATCTCGGGATTGGGGACAAGAGAGAGGATAACTTATGTGTCTAAGCCATACCTCCTGAATGTGGTCTAGAACATGCTTTCTCTTCCCTGCATGTGTCAGTGTTAAATTTGCCACTCCTTTGGCATTTCTCCCATTAAGAGGTGGAATCTATTTCTCCTCCCCTTTAATCTGGGTGAGCTTGTGACTTCTTTAATTAACGGAGTACAGAAAAGTAACAATATTGTACTTTTGAGGCTAGGTCACAAAAGGCTATAAAATTTTCATTTTGGTTTCTAGGAATGCTCTCTTTTGGAGAGCTGTGCAACTCTGAGGCCACCATCCTATAAGGAAGCTCAAGTCACATGTATGTGTACAAGATGTCATTTAAACCTCATCTAGGATGATAGAACACATAAGTGGGTCCAGATCACATTCTAGAGTACCAGCTATAGTGAATTTCTTCACTTCTTAGATTGCTCATAAAGGGAAGGCTGAAATGAGAATCACTTTTTGAGCTTAAGAAAAAGCCATTTCCTCTATCTACCTACCTACCTACCTACCTACCTACCTATCAAAAATTCTATCTATAGAATTACTAGAGCAGGGGGAATTACATTAGATGTTAGAGGATAATTGGATAGTACCATGATAGTGGATTTGGGCTAGTTGTCATTTGAATTGGGAAAGAGAGCTACAGGGAGGTTTTTGGACATTTTCTGCATGTCTTTTTGGCCATACCATATTATATTTAGGCAATGTATTAGAGTTCCCTAGAGTAACAAAATAGTAGGAGATATACATGAGTTTATTAAGTAGTATTAACTCACATGATCACAAAGTCCCACAATAGGCTGTCTGCAAGCTGAGGAGTAAGGAAGCCAGTCCAAGTCCCAAAGGTGAAGAACTTGGATTTCGATGTTTGAGGGCAGGAAGCATCCAGAATGGGAGAAAGATGTAGCCTGGGAGGCTAAGCTGGTCTAGCCTGTTCATGTTTTCTGCCTGCTTTATATTCTAGCCACACTGGTAGCTGATTAGATGGTACACAGCCAGATTAAGGGTGGGTCTGCCTTTCCCAGCCCACTGATTCAAATGCTAATCACCTTTCACAACACCCTCACAGACACACCCAGGATCAATACTATGCATCCTTCAATCCAATCAAGTTGACGCTCAGTATTAACCATCACAGGCAACAAAAGCAATAGCCCAGTTTTGGCTGACTTATTAGGATTAAAGATTTTCAGCAGAGTTTCCTTGGTTGCTACCACTGAAGACAAGGCCATGGAATAAATCCACTTTAAAAGAAAGCCACCTTTTCATTATATACGTTGTAAGGTGATGGCAGGTGGTGCAGTGTTTCTCTGAACATCCTTAACCAAGTATCTGACATGCTGATGTGTTATGATTAGTTATGAGAAGGAAGTTGAATTGTAGCTTTAACTTGGGGAAGTATGAAAAACTCAAGCTTCTTATTTGGGTGTGGCTGTATCCCACAATCTCTGTATACCATGTGAGGATTCTCACTCAAATACCTGTTTGAGGTATTTGAGGTGGAAAAGAGTTTGAGAATCCCTGTGATGTATAAGTTATCCTTGTTTGCATTGTGTATTTTGGTCTTATTTATTACTTATTGCTCACTCCAGATGTCTTGTATCTACTTAACAAGGCTGGAAGAGAGAAGGAGACATGTATCATGCCCACTAATGCTCCTCTCTCCAAAGGTAGCCTGCGTTCCTACTTCCTTCACCATAGATTAGCTTTGTCTGCTTTTGAACTTATCATAAATGGACTCATTTAGTACACGCTGTTTTTTTGAGCCTGTTTTCTTTTTTTTCTATTTTTTTTTAGACAGAGTCTTGCTCTGTCGCCCAGGCTGGAGTGCAGTGGCGTGATCTCGGCTCACTGCAAACTCCGCCTCCCAGGTTCAAGCAATTCTCCTGCCTCAGCCTTCCGGGATTACAGGTGCCCGCCACCACGCCCGGCTAATTTTTTTGTATTTTTAGTAGAGACGGGGGTTTCACCATATTTCCCAGGCTGGTTTCGAACTCCCAAGCTCAGGCAATCCACCCAACTCAGCCTCCCAAAGTGCTGGGATTACAGGCATGAGCCACTGCCCCCAGCCAAGTCTGTTGAGCAAGTATTTGTTGCTCAGCATAATATCTCTGTGGGAAGTTTCGCATGCCCATGATTATATTAGAAAGGAGTATCCCAATTTAGCTTTCAGTTCCTTTTTTCCTTCTTGCCTCCCTGAGCCAGTGGGCAGCTCCAGTCACTAAGGAGATTGGGTTGCTGTGTGGGGGTAGCCATTGTTAATGGCTTGTGCCATTACTTGTGGGATTAGCCATTAACAAGATAAAGCACAGAATATGATTTGAAGGAACAGACTTCCTCCAAATTAGCTGGCTCAGGACTTTTCTGAAAACATAAGTCAACTTGGTCACATAAGCAGGGCCTGGCTTGGCCTATGGGGCAGCACACTCTTACTTGCCTGGTGGACCAGGCTGTCCGCGTTCTTTTGGCTGGAGCAGAGGCAGCAACGGTGTGAGATGGCCAGCATCCTGGCAGTTTGACCTGATTGGATGAGGTTCCCTAACTCTGGAAAGTGATTTCCAGAGGATGGAAGACCACCCTGTAAATAGTCCACTGCCCTTTAGCTTTCCTATGCCTGGGAGTGCTGGGGCTCAAAAGACATCAGAAATTTATTGTCTTTTGGAAAGCTGGGTTTGTAATGAAGAAGAAATTTTGTTGTTCTTTTTGTGTAATTATACAGTGTGTAATCTCTGGATATATCCTTTCAAGGGTATTAATTATAAGTCTGTAAAGAAGAGGTATGAGGGAGCAAGCTGACTCCCAGACACTCTGAAAACCAAAATTGGATCAAACCAACCCATCTGTGTGCATAAAAAAGTGGCCACCTTGGCACACTCTGTCAAAGCTCAGGATGCTCTATTTTAATAGCTTATTTTGACCTAAAATAGTTTTTCCTTTAAACATAAACTTTTATTTGGGCTTTTCAAATTTCCTGCTTTTTCTATGTATGCAAGTATCCTTAGAGTCAATCTTGTATGTGCTTAAGGAGTGCACAGGTTAAAATAAAAATTCTACTGATATATTCATCTATTTTCTACTGTAATCAGAATGGCAGGTGCCATGATTTAGGATTTTTTTGGTTTCGCCATTTAAATAAAAGTATAAAACACTTAAATAATACAAATAATAGTGGGAAAGGGACACAATTCCTTCTCTATATGCTTGAGCATAGAATAATAAACCCAGCAAATGTCTAGCATTTTAGAATTTACAGGGTACCTTTAAATGTATCATCTCATTTAACTCTCACAAAACTTTATGGGGATGGTATTATTAATCCTATTATGTCAATAAAGTGACTGAAATTCAGAGAAGTTAAATGACTTGCTTAAGGGTCTTTTAGCTAACTGATAGACTTGAGATGAAAACTATGGTGTTATGAGACCAAAGACTGTGCAACACCACACATCCTGTCTTAAAATACAGATAGTCCTCATTGCACATACAGTCTTTCTCTGTATTACACACAATGTGCCACTTTGCTTATGATTATCTGGGTATACTGAATTTGAAATTGAACATGCGTTCCTTGAAAGCAGGGATCTTGCGTTATATTTTGTGGTTCACCCTCAGAGTTCAAAATAAATATTTGTTGAATGAGTCAGCACAGTATTTCTCTTCTAGTCTTCTTCCTTAACCTATGTCCATGGCAATTACACAAAATAGAGCATGTTTCTGTCTTCCTGCATCACCCCAGGTGGTAGCTTATTGAGCTGTTTACTAAAAGACAAAAGCAGGTTCTAGTTGCCAGATAATTTTTTGGTGATTAAGTAGGAAGCTTGCTGACTTTAGACCTATTATTATTTTTTTCTTTTAGCAAAAGTAGTTTTACCTTAATGATCTTGTCCTAAATAGATTGAAATAATATATTTTGATGTAAGTAATGTATATAGTAAATAATGAAATAATATTTGAATTCTAAAAGCCTGATTTTGAAGAACTAGCAAATTTACCTTTGCTTGTAGTCCTAGTACAGAGAAAGCTTTTTTCTGCTCTTTAATACTATTTTATCTGCTATTCAATGCTATATTGTAAAATAATATGTTTTTAGTGCTATTTCTGGATCTCTTAATTTTAGGCTGTTTCTGTTGGCTAGCTATTATGGAGGCTGATGTTTTCTTCTTCTTGACACCATCATATCCATTTCTTTGGACAAGATCTTCCTATTATGGTTTTACAAATGTTGGTGAATTTGTTAAATCAGGATTTTTATTATGTTAATATTATTTACTGCTGAGGCAATAAGTGTACGGTGTTTATATTTCCTTTCACATCAAACTTTTCTCTGTAGAATTAATAATTATCTCTCTTTCTCTTTTATCATTTGCCTAATTATACAGGTGTCCAATATAATGCCTCACCAATTATTGCCTAGCATTATGTTTTTCTCTTTCTTGATTTGTTATCTCATTTTAATGAAGTACATCTTCCACTGTCTTTCTTAAGAAGGTATATGGAGGACAGTATTATGAGATCTTGCTAAGATTCAGATTCTGATTTAATAGAGCTGGGTGGCACCTTAGAATCTGTATTTCTAACTAGTTCCTACTCCACTTGCTCCACTTTGGCCATTGGGGTTACCAACGTTGTTGGTTTGTGGACCACTCTTCGGGTAGCAAGTTCTAGACTGATCTTATTTTCTTATATATTCTCTCTTTTCTCATATCTTTGACTTAAAAAAATGCTTTCTGGGGGATTTCTATGTTATAATCACTTTATTTTCTTCAATTATCTTTAAAAAATCAAGATATCTTTCTTGTTTGATCATTTCTTTATTATATTGTATCTACATTTTAATAGACACAATAATGTCTCATCTCTCTGAATATACAAGTATGGCTTTTTTGGTATTTTTTTCTCCAGTTTATTTTTTAGAATCTCTGTTTCTGTTAGATTTTCTCAATTTTCTCAATTCTCTGATCACATTTGCATATCTACTCATATGCAAGTGGTGCTCTAACAAGCGGATTGTTATTTTGTAGGTGAGGAGTGGGGGCAGGCTTGTTGACTAGTGAGATTCACTTTAAGGTAATCAGGTGAGCCAGCTTTTCCACCAGGGGATCCTCAAGTATCTCTATGAAGCTATTATTCCTGGGGACTGTTCAGCCTCTCCAAATGAGAATCCCAGTGTTCTGTCATGAGGTTGCAGGTAGGGTTGGTGGTGTAACACTTGGTGACTGGCATTCTGTGAGCAGGGTGGGAAGGGGCCGTGGGGCACATGGCTCATTTGCTTTCATGTCCTTATCTATAAACCCAGCTCCTCTCTCCTGTTCTCCTCTCAGGCTTACTCTTTATCCAGAATATTGCATCTTGCTCCTCTAGGGGATTAGGAGGGAGGTAGATCCCTTAGCTGCTTTGAATGATTGAGGGGATCAGGTATGGGGCAAATTTCCATCTATCTATAGACAAATTCAAACCTATGCCTCCTGCATTTGGACCTGCATCTGAACCCCACCTTCCATATCAGTATGTGCTATGCCTCTTACAGTTTAGTGGGGGTGAATTGCTCCCTTCTGTCTGGTATTCCTTTTTATAGGCATTTTAGTTGTGATTTTTCTCAGCTCTGTGAAGTCAGTTATCATCTTTCACCTGCTTCTGTCTTCTAAAAATTTGTTAAAATATTTCATTTACTATTGTCTCCCCTTATTTGGGTTTATCTGTTTAAAATATCCTTTACTATACTTTGGTGGGGATTTGGAAAGGCAGTCTTAACTGTTTCCTACATGCTAACGATGATCAATCTTTCCTGGTCTTCAAGGTCCAAGACCTAGTCTAAACTTCTCTTAGCCTGATTAGTCAAAACTACCTCAATCTTTGGAAACAGCAGGGAAGGATCTGTGACTCTTTTGTACCCAATGGTCATAGGAGGAACTTTCAGAATAAATCTTTTCCATGGGACTCCTCTGTGAGCCACCAGAGTTTTCCGTGTGAGTGGTGCTTTTCTATTGGCTGGCACATGGAGGAAATCCATTTGTACCAACTCCGGGGCAGCTTAGTGCTTTCACCTTGTAGACTGTCTCAAGTCCTGGGTTGGAGACTGGCCGTGTCATTATTTAAGATGATGGAGAATTAAGGACAGTTGAGTTTTCTATATTCCTGCTGTTTTTCCTAAACTCTTATTTTAGTAGTTGTCACAATACTCTACATCAAGGGTTATTTAGCAGGAAGGTAACCCTCCCCTTCATATTTTCTTGACTTCTATATTGAGTCTCCTTTCTGGGATTCAGATGTGGATTTGGCAATGGTGGTTCACTCCACTTTGGCAGTTTACTAGAATTCACAAATTCATGACTCAACAGGAGACTAATTGAGATATGCATGTTTTGGAGAGATGTTTCTGAGGTCCTGGGACAAGGGCCTTATATTTAGATGATTCAAAAGTCTTAATAAAGTTGACCAACACACTTGGGGTTATATGTCTCCAACCAGCAAAACTTTCTCCAGAGTCAAATTAAAACAGTGTAGTCAGAAAAAAATTGGGCTTCGGGCTTTAGTATTTCTTACAACATCTCATTCAAATTGCCCTTATTCTTTCCACCTGGAAAGTTATATCTTAAATATCCAGTAAAGAAATGGGGGAAACTCCTCCCACTTTGGTGTGACATTGAGATTATTATATCACGGGAATTTTTTGGAAACTTATGTAGATGATATGAATATTTTGGTATAGTGAATAAAATAAGGCTGAGAAGCAACCTTCATTTGCTTTTTCCTATTGGGAACTGCATTTTCTTTCTAGTTATGTAATTATCTTTCTGTTCTTCATTTACTTAGTTAAACTTTGTAACCTTTAGAAACAAATGTATAAGGAAAAGTAGGGAAATGCTTATATATCTAGTATATGAGAATAATGATGGGTTTCATCTAAGCATGTTTAAAAATTAATTGAGCAGTATTCCATTAAATATTAAAATCTCTCAAATCTTATTTAAAAATTTATATCATTTGAACCTATAGCATTTCATAAAGCACAGCATCTTCTGAACATTATGAAGAAGTAGAATGCTCAAATTATGAGGCTTAATTAGCACCCCTCAGAGGATTACAAGGTGATGACCAGGATACATAGTCACCTTTTTTTTTCTCAGATTGGCCACATATAACAGGTATATGTGCCTTATTTATTCATTCAGCTAATGATTATTGAATATCTGCCATGGATACTGAACTAGATTCTGGGGATGCAAAGATAATTAAACTGGAATTTGCCCTGAGGAGTGTACAGTCTAGCCAAGGAGAAAAACATACCCTAATAATTAAACATTAAGAATGATCACTGGAGGCTGGGCATGGTGGCTCATGCCTATAATCCCTGTGTTTTGGGAGGCCAAGGAGGGAGGATTGCTTGAGGCCAGAAGTTCAAGACCAGCTTGGGCAACATAGTGAGACCGCATCTCTAAAAAAAAAAAAATTTAGCTAAGCATGGCGGCATGAGCTATTTGGGAGGCTGGGGCAGGAGGATTGCTTGATCCCAGGAGTCTGAGGTTACAGTGAGCTATGATCACACCACTGCACTCCAGCCTGGGTAACGGAGTGAAACCTATCCCTAAAAACAAGCAAGCAAACAAAAAAATCACTGGGAAACTTAGAGTGTATTTGAGAAAACAGGCTAGAAGCCACCTGAGAAAGTTGGAGATGACTATTCCAGGAGGCGATGCTGAATTGGATCTGAAAGGACTTCACAAGACACTGGGGAGAAGGATAAAAGGTCTCTGTACTGCACAGTACAAATAACATGTGCAAAGAAAAATAACTGTGGAATGTCCTGACACATTTAAAAAAGAGTGACAGGTTAATATAGCTGAGGTAAAGGGTGTGTGTATGTGAAATTGAAGGAAGTAAACAGGAACAAGAATTATGGGACAGAAAGTGGAGGGCCAACTATGTCATCAAAAGAAATTTGGACTCCATTTATGTAGGCTGTCCATGCATTAGGTAGCTAATGATCTTGCTAAACAGGAATCTACATGGCCAGACTTGGTTTTAGACAGATTCATTTGGCAGCAGTCAGATGGTCATTCCAGTTGTTCAGATAATATGTGAGAGTCTGAACTAAGAAGTGATGGAGAGAAAGATACAAACAATATTTAAGAAGGTGAATTATTAGGAGTTGGAAACCAAATGTGGGACAAAGGGAAGTGGCAGATGTGACATTTCTTATGCTATTTCCTTGCCTCATTTCTGATTTCAGCTGCAGCTGTGGTAGGTAGATGGTTTCTGTGCACACTGCAAGTGCAGGGAACACCCAACTCCTGTCCTGCTTCCAGCAACTCTTAGCCACTGGGAAATAAGAATCTGTAAAAAGGCTGCAGCCTCTCACCCTTTAGTGGGAACATCTGGAAGCTTATTCCACATAGTTCCTTATAAAGTCCTATGTGGAGGTGCACTTCAGTCACCCACAATAGGAATCCACTCAATCACGCCCCCTTTATTGGTTCTTTCTCTTTCCCTGCCTCATGCTCCTTGCTTTCCCATGCCTGCTTCCTAGGTTTGCTTTCCAAGTAAGCTCTTTGTACTCATTTTCTGGCCTCAGGTTCTACTTTTGGAAGGACCTACCAAAGTTGGAGGATTAAAGGATAACTCTAGAATGCATGGCTGGACTAATAGGATGGGCAGGCTCTGCCTAACAAATATTGGAGGAAGAACAAAGTAGGGGAAGAGTAGGAGGTGGCAGTTGAATTTTGTTCAGAACACATTGAATTTGAGGTGTCTTTGGAATATTTAGCTGAAGCACAATGATGAGGAGAAGTGGGGACTTTGTGAGTCATCACCATAAAGGTTGAGGAAGAGAATGAAATCAAGCAAGGGAAGCAATGGCCTAAGGGAGAGGATACAAAATAAGAAGAGAGGTGGATAGAACCTTGGGGAATACCAACATTTTAGAGGTGGGCAAAGGCAAAAATTGTGTCATGATCATGATAATTTTGCTAGCCCTAAGGAGTACCTGGTTATATAGTAATGCTCAGTAAATATTTGTTCAATGACTGAACCAGAAAAGGGAACTGAATAGAGTGGACAGAAGGCTGGAGAACCAGGAAAACAAAGGCTGTATGGAAGAGAGAGTGTACAAATGAGAGTTTCAAGTGTCACAACAGGTTCATCTGGGACATTGGCTGAATCTGGTCACAGGGCTGCTTTGCTAGCCTCAGTGAGGGATGCAACGAAGGCAGGCACAACCAGCAGAGGGTAAGGACCTGAGGAATCAAAGCATCTTGAGGAAGTGAAGATGGAGATTTCAACCATTTTTTTTTAAATGATGTTTTCAACACTAATCTAAGCTGGTAGAATAAATTTGGAAAATATAGAGGAATATAAAGTAGAAAATTATGATCACTTAAGATTCTTTCATCCCTCCTCCATTGCCTCCAGATAAACACTGGTAACCCATTGTGGTATTAGGTTAACAGTACGAGAGATTTGGGGGTGAAAGCCAGTTAAATATTGGCAATTTTCTACCTAAGGTTCAAAGTATAGTTCTTTGCAGATAGATGACTACTCTCAAGAGGAGGAAGAGCATGTAGGATGGCTTGTGGGGTTTGCAGAATCTAGGCAAAGGTTTAAAGTTTTAAATTTAACTTGTGAGCTAATTTTTTTTTTTAGGGTGAGGGCATCTTAACATATTTTTGTAAGCCAAGAAGTGGAAGGAAGGTTGGTGACAGCTGATGACAATTGCTCACAGGGGTTGAAAAATGCGAACACTGTTTTGCAGTCCATTGATCTGGGTGTGTGCTTTTTTCCAGTCGTGCTGGGGACTGGGGAAGCTGCTGGGTGGGGATTGCAGTGTGGCTGCTCCTGGAAAAACAGATTCTTGCTGTGGTCGCAGGGATGTAGTGAGCTTTCCTTTTCTGGGCCTTGCCCTGTACTTGAACCCAAACAGCTTGGACAGAAAACATTCTGAGGCTCTTATCAGGGAAGGAATCACATCTGTAAACAGGCTGTTTGAAGCAATTTGAGCCTCAACTTCAAGGTAGGAAGCAAGATGCCTTTTGTTTATTTTTGGAGTGGAATTTTGTGACCCAATCTGCAGATAGTTTGCTCCCCCATCTGGAATATCATTGGAGAGTCAAGAAACCAGAAGTGGAGTCAGCCTCCAGATGTCTATAGGGAGTCTCCCAGGCCTAGACATTTAAGCTCAGTCACTGTAGATTTCCTGCAGCACAAAGGAAGCAGCAGAAGGGTCCACAGAAGAATTATAGTACTTGTTTTATTTTTTAAAATAATGGGAAGAGAATTGGTGCCTATCAAGCCTCTTATTATAGCAAAAAATAAAAAACACTGCCTAAGCCATGACTAGCAAGACTGAAAAAGACTGAAATCCGCTGCATGAATGAAAAATAAATGACATAAAACCCAGAACAATGACCATGAAACAGAACCAGTGTCTCTCCAGAGAAAGCCCCTATGTTCTCTGCTTATAAAACGTGGACTCTCCTGTCCTTCAGTCATGAGCTCCAGCTCCTTTCTTCTCAGAAGCTGGAGGCTGGACGAACAGCTGAGCTTCAGCTCTCTGCTGGGTCCATAGGTAGAGCCCCCAGAAGAATCACCCCCTACAGCAGAGAAGAAAATCATTATCCCAGGGGTTGGATGACACTGGGGTCCTTCCTTATGACCATTGCTAATGCTGCATAATGGATTTCTTCTAATCAGGTCCTTTGGAAACTGCATTTAATTAAGACATTTTGGTAGAAAGTTGCCCATGCATTCTGTTTGCAAGTAAATAGAGGATTTGGGTTAAGGAGTCTCCATTGTTTATTTTGAATCAAGATCAAGCCAAGCTGCTTTAAAATGTCTTCAGCTTCAGGCATTGGTTACTTCTCCCCTTCTCTCTCTGGTTCTGTGCCTTTACCTGAGATGTTCCTAATACTACCACTAACTAATATGGACCCAGCCTTACTGTGTCCCAGGCATTGGGTTAATTGCTTCACACACCTGATTGCATTTTTTCTTCAGCAATGTTGTAGGTCTGTTTATTATTGCTGATTCATCTATGAAGATACCATGGTTCAAAGAGGATAACTAACTTGCCCAGCATTACATGGTTAGGGAGAGACAGAAGCACTTTAAACGCAGGTAATATGATATCATTACCAGGAACTCTTATTAAAATGACCACTTTGTATGTGAACAGAGGGAGGAAGGGGTGCCCAAGACAGGATATCTCATAGCTCCCATATAACGGTACTTCCTTGAAAATAAACTAAGAGTTTGTTACTTTATTGTAGGATATGAATGACAGACATGTCCAACAATTCTGGTATGAGTATATCCAACATTTTGCTAGTAATAAAAAGGGTAGGATGCTTAAAGTTGGAAAGAATGCATGGTGGTCTAACTGCCTGAGATGATCAAATAAATAAAATTGGTTTCTACTATCTATTTCTATTAAAGACTTCAGAACAAATAATGGCGTCCTCAAAATTTGGGCTTCTTTTCTTTTTCATATTAATCTGGATACACTGGAAGGAAATGATTAACATAGTGCCCATCCTTAGGAATTTTATATTTCCAATCATCCATTCACCCAGTTTTAAAGCTAGTACAAAAACGATGAAAAAAAGCAACTAATTTAGACTCCAAATAGAAAATATGACTGTCTTTCCTTATATTTAAGACCATTTCTCCCCGCTGCAACTTCCTAATCAATATGTATTTCAAGACAGCACAACCTGCCCCAGAATAACCATATCTTTAAAAATACAGGTTTTTATTTACCCTGGAGTAGTGGTATGGGTAGTGGACTGTGAGCCAGGGTATGCACGTTCTAGGTCCTGTTCTGAGGTCATCGCCCTTGTCACTTTAGGTAAACTGCTTAACCTCTCCAGACCTTCTTTACCTGCCTTGATTACGTTGGGGCTTTTTCATGTGGAACGTCTGGATGTTGAACAGATTTTTGGATGACACATACACACACACACACACACACACACACACACACACCCTAAAGTTCCGTGCAAAATCTTAAATGTAGTTGTGAGGCAAGAGAATCCACAGCTTTTCTTAGATTTTCAAAGGCTACGTGACTGTAAAGAGATTGTGAACTTTTGACTTGAATGATCTATCTCTACGTGTCCTTCCTAGACCAGAAATTTTTCTAATTGTAGTTTGTTAGCAAGCTCAGCTCTGCTCTTAAAGTTTGGCATTTGGATTCTTTAAAGATTGTGACCATCCCTTTAAAAGTTGTTTTCAAACCATGGAAACAGGTGTGAACCACCCTTGGGTGAGCTGCCACTAAACCTTCACTTCTTGTACTTTCCTGGGTCCTGATGAATGAATCGTTTGACTTGAGCATCCAAGGCTCAGCCCAGGAAGCTACTTTGAGGGACATAACCTATTTGTTTGTGGTGAGGTGTCCATTCCTGGTCTGTAAAGAGGCATTTTTGGAAGGAAGCAAGACACAAAGGCAATCTTAAGTAATGTCTTTTTGACAAAAATGTCAAAAAGAATGGCCAACAAATATAAAAACCAACTAGCCAGATTCTGAGGGGGAATTCTAGTACGCTAGGCAGGGAGATTGTGTAGAAAGAAAAGAGCAACAGGTTTGAGAATTTGTGGGGTTGTCCTCAGGCACTAGGAGTAAACTACCATTATTCTACTGGTGGGAGTTCCCTGATAAAAGAAACATATCTTTAATGAAAAGTTGGTAATCCTTTTGTGAATAATACTGCATACATGATACTAATTAAAGTCCTTCAACATGTGAACAGACACTGTTTCTGAGGCTGTCACACACATGCAGGGAAAAGGATTTACCTTACAAAACAATGTTGCTTTGATAATACCACATCTGCAACCCTAATTGTGCCTTTGTAGCAAGTTGGTTTGGCCATTGGTCATCCTCCACAGCACTGCAATTTATCCTCCAGGAACACATAGGATTTTATTTTATGGTAAATTTGTTATTATTGAAATATAAGATACACACAGAAAAGAGTACAAATCCTAAGTGTACACCTTCATAAATTTCTACAAAGTGACCACTCCCATGAAAACAATACCAAGATCAAGATAAAAAGCATTGCCTAGGTCCCTGTTAGCCTCTCTCCTGCCCTACCCTAGCCATTGCTTCAAGGAAAGGTGACTGATATTCTGCCACTTATCCACATAGATTCATTTTGCCTTATTCTGAACCTCATATAAGTGAAACCGTATAATAATACTGTTTTGTGTTTGGTTTCCTATCCTGTTTGTGAGTTTCATCTATGATGTTGTATGTATCAATAGTACATCCTTTGTCATTGCTGCATAGTATTCTAATACAGCACAGTTATTCATTCTACTGCTGATGAATATTTGGGTTGTTTCTAGTTTGGGGCTATTATGAATAAAGTTTCTGCCAGCATTCTTGCACATATATTTTGTTATACTCATTTCTGTTGAGTATAAACATAGGAGTGGAATTTCTGGGTCATAGAGTATGTATATATTTACCTTTAGTGAAAAAGAAAAGAATTTTTCAGAGTGGCTGTTCTAATTTACAATTCCTCCCGCAGTGTATAAGGCTTCCTATTGCTCCACATCCTCATTAACACTGAGTACCTTTAGTGACACTGGTGGGTATGCAATAATATCTTACTGTGGCTTTAATTTGCAATTCTCTGATTTCAAGTGATGCTTAGCAAATCTTTGTATAAATATTGGTCGTTTGGATATTCTCTTTTATAAATATCTGTTCAAGTCTACTTTTCATTTTTAGAAATTGTATTATCTTTTACTAGTTGACTTGGAGTTCTTTATATATTATAGAGTAGTCCTTTCTCATATATATATTGAAAATGTCCGTTTCTAGTTAGTGTCTTCCCTTTACCTGTCTTAATGTTTATCTTTTGGTGACACGTTTTTAATTTTAATGAAGTCTGATTTATCAATCTTTTACTTTGTGGTTTGAGCTTTTTGTGCCCACCCCAAGAAAATAAATGTTTTTCTGTTAGCTTCAAGAGATTTTACTGTTTTATCTTTCACATTTAGGCCTATAATCTACATCTATATCTATATCTCCTATATCTATATCTAGTCTGTATCTATCTATGTCCTCCAACTTTATTCTTCTCAGGATTTCTTTTAGGATTTTTGGTCTTTTACATTTTCTTCTCCATTTTAGAATCAGCATGCCAAATTCCACAAAAAAGCTGCTAAGAACTGTAATTGAACTTGCACTGACTATACATCGTTTGGAGAGAATTTATATCTTACTGTATTGTGTTTTCCAATCCATGAACCAGGTCTATCTCACTTTTTATTTTGTATTATTTAATTTCACTCAGTAATATTTGTAGTTCCCTGAATATTTGTAATATCTAAGTCTGTGACTTATTAGTGTCTAATATAAATTATGTACTGATATAAATTACATATAATATGAATTCATATTTTACCACTTCCCTGATCATTTACCACTGTCATGTTTTATATTATTCTCTTTTTTAATATCATGTTTATTGAAGTATACTTTAAGCCAGGTGCAGTGGCTCACGCCTGTAATCCCAGCACTTTGGGAGACCGAGGCAGGTGGATCACTTGAGGCCAGGAGTTGAAGACTAGCCTGACCAACATGGAGAAACCTTATTTGCACTAAAAATATAAAAAATTAGCTGGGCATGGTGGTGGGCACCTGTAATCCCAGCTACTAGGGAGGTTGAGGGAGGAGAATTCCTGGAACCCAGGAGGCAGAGGTTGCAGTGAGCCAAGATTGTGCCACTGCACTCCAGCCCGGGGGATGGAGTGAGACTCTGTCTCAAAAAAAAAAAAATGGAAATATATTTTACATGCAGTAAAATTTGCTGTTTTTAGGTACATAGTTGTGTAAGTTTGACAAACATAGTCATTTAACCACCCACATCAAGATATAGAATATTGCCATCACCCTAAATACCTCAGGTGTTTTCCGTGTCCTCTTATGATCAACATTCTTTCTCATCCCAGCCTGGCAACCTCTGATATAATTTTTAAGTTTTGCTTTTTCCAGATTGTCACCTAGGCAGAATCGAACAGTTACAGAAGTTACACAGTAAAATATTTCTTCCACATACATAATGCAGTTTTTGGATTCGTGCATGTTGTTGCATGTCTCAGTAGTTCATTCCTTATTAGGACGCAGCAGGATTCCATTGTGTGGGTGCATCTCATTTTGTTTATTCATTCGTTGGTTGATAGACATTGTTTAAAGTTTTTGTTGATTATTAGTAAAGCTGCTATAAACTTTCTGTAGAGACCTTTTATAGACTTTTTTTTTTTTTTTTGAGATGGAGTCTCCCTCCATTGCCCAGGCTAGAATGCAGTGGTACAATCTTGGCTCCTGCAACCTCCGCCTCCCAGGTTCAAGTGATTCTCTTGCCTCAGCCTCCTGTGTAGCTAGAATTACAGGCGCCCGCTACCATGCCCGGCTAATTTTTGCATTTTTAGTAGAGACAGGGTTTCACCATGTTGGCCAGGCTGGTCTCAAACTCCTGACCTCAGGAGATCTGCCCACCTTGGCCTCCCAAAGTGCTGGGATTACTGGCATGAACCATTGTGCCCGGCCAGACCTATGTTTTTGTTTCTCTTGCAAAACACATATCTGATAAAAATGTTATATCCAGAATAAAGAAAGCACTGTCACCATTCAAAAATAAGAAAATAAACAACTCACTTTAAAATGGGCAAATGATTTGAACAGAAACTTCAAAGAAAACATATGGATGGAAATAAGCATGTACAAATAATAATTTTAGTCAATGAAAAATTGCAAATTAAAATCATGCTATATTAGACACTGATATATACATTTGAATGGCTAAAATTAAAAAATAAAAATGACAAGTTTTTATGAGAATATGTAGCAACTGGAACATTCATACATGGTGGGAATGGAAAATGGTACAATTTATTTTCATTTATTTTAATAAAATTATATAGTTTGATATTCCCACCCACATATCATGTTGAAATGTAGTCCCCAATGTTGGAGGTGGGGCCTGGGGTGGGAGGTGTTTCTGTCATGGGGGCAAATTCCTCATGAATGGCTTGGGTCATCCCCTTGGTGATAAGTGAGCTGTCTGTGTTCACACAAGATCTGATCCTTTAAAAGTGTGTGGCACCTCCCCATTCCCCTTGCTCCTGCTTTTGTCAAGTTAAGTGTCTGTTGCCACTTTGCCTCCCACCATGAGTAAAAGCTCTCTGAGGCCTCCTCTGAAGAAGATGCTGCTATGCTTCTTGCACAACCTGTTAGAACCATGATCCAATTAAACTTCTTTTCTTATAGATTACCCCAGTCTCTGGTATTTTTTATAGCAATGCAAGAACAGCCTAATACAGATACCATAATACATTATTATTATTTTTTTACAATTCATATTCATTTGATTTACCCACACATTTACAATTTCTATGGCTCCTCATTCCTTCCCATCTTTCTGTGTTTCTGTTTGGGATGATTTTCCTTCTACTTGGACAACTCTCTGCAGTATTTCTATTAGTGCAAGGCTGCTGGTGACAGATTCTGTCTGGTTTTGGTTACCTTGAAGTCTATTTATTTCACCTTCACTTTCATAGAATATTTTCTCTGTGTGTATAAACCTAGACTTATAGTTATTTTCTTTTAGCATGTCTAATAATTTATTCCATTGTTTTCTGGCTTTGTTTTTAAGAAGTCAGTCAAAATCTCATTGTTTGTATGGATTTCCTTGCCACGGGCTTCTGACTTTAAAAAAGTGTTTAATTCATACCTTAATTGTTCCTCATATTTATTCCTATAAGAAGACAGAATATGCTCAATATGTGTTTTAAGTCTACAAGAGCACATTTGGTGGCTTCATTCTCCCATGAGTGTCTGCCCAGCTTTGTAGAAACCCAATCTTCCTTAGTTTCACAAGATCCCTTGAAGGTAGGGAGTAGCTGATTTTCTAAATGAGAAAGATATAGAGTATAGGGCTTTCCTGAGTCCACCCAAGGTGGTTGAATTGAGAGTAGAACCCTGCAATGGAACTTGCATTCTCAGATGCAAAACCTTTTTCTCTTCTACTATATAATAATAATGAAAGTCGCTATTATTGCCATGGATTACAGAAACTACTCTTCCATTTTTGCACTTATTGGTCTAAATGGAGAACTTAACAGACCTGGGTAGAATGTGGGCAGGCTGCCTTCATGAACACACAAGAATGCATTTGTTAGTCATTAATCCTCCTGGTTGATCAGAGTAAATCTCAACCCAACTGCCTTATCCAGGGCTTCTTTACTTAAAGGTGCCAGGTATACTTTTGGGATTAAACTTGGACTCAGTTTTTGGTACAGTATATACATTTGTTTTCCATTCTCAAAAAAAAAAACCTAACTTAATTCAACTCTCATAATTAAAATATCCTAACTGAATTAGTAATATCCTAAGCAAACCAATTAAGGCGGGAGGGTTGCAGGCATGTATGTGTTAGGGGAGAAGGGTATTGCATGAATGCCTGAAGGAAGTAAGTAAATCAAAGTTTATAAAGTACAGCTAATAAAGTGAAAGGCATGATCCTTTAAAAGCATTCTTATAAAAAGATTATAGACATTGGAGAGACCTGGGTTGGAAGTGACTCTTCCACCTTCAATGTGTGTGATTCCAGAAAGTTGTTTCACTTATTTGAGTGCCAGTGCCTTTGTTTCCTCATCAGAGAACTGTGGATCATAATAGCTACATGGAGAGGAAGATGAAGGTAAAAAAAGTTGGTAGAGAAAATAAAGAAGTAAAGTAAATATGGAGGAGGAAGAAGAAAGAAGAGATAAGAAGAAAGATAAAAACTGGAAGATGGAAAGGATGAGATAGCAAAAGAGTTGTCACAATTAGGGAGGTGATACGAAAATCACTGTACCTGGCATTAAGCAGGCACCTAATAAATTGGTGTTGATATTACTACAATTGGGATTATCCTTCTCTATGTAGCATAGATTAGAACACAAAGTTGATCTGAATTGTGACTGCAACTTTGAGGTATTTGGACCCTAAACTATTCTCGAATTGTTCTTGCAAAGTCATAATTACTTAAATGTTGACATTTAAAGAGATTGCTTGGACTTCCTGCCTACCTTAAACACATAATTCTATGGCTATCATAAAAAAGACAAAAAATAATTGGTGGCAAGAATGTGAAGAAAAGGGAACTCAAGCACTATTGGTTGGAATGTAAATTAGTACAGTCATTATGGAAAACAGTATGGTGCTTCCTCAAAAAACAAAAAATAAAACTACCATATGATCTACCAATCCACTATTGGGTTTGGTAGGTCCTCACTTCATATCATGAATAGGTTCTTGGAAATTGTGAATTTAAGTGAAATGATGTACAGCAAGTTCTCAAATACATTGTTTCATTCAACATCATTTCATTACAACATTGGTGGGAAAAAATTGGTTTCATTATACATAGTTTCACTCAAATTCACAGCTTTCAAGAACCTATTCATAACACTGAGGATTTACTGTATCTATTCAAGGAAAAGAAATCAGTATGTGAAAGTTATATCTGCATTCCCCTGTTTATTGCAGCACCATTCGCAATAGCCAAGATATGGAATCAACTTAAGTGTACATCAGCAGGTGAGTGAATAAAGAACATGTGGTGTATATAAACAAAGAAACATCACTTAGTCGTAAAAGAAGTGAAATCTTGTTCTTCCTGGCAACATGGATGAGCCTAGAGAACATTCTGTTAAGTGAAATAAGCCAGGCACAGAAGGATAAATACAGCATGTTCTCTCTCATATGTGGAAGCTAAAAAAGTTGATCTCATAGAAGCAGAGAGTAGAGTAGTGGTTATTGGAGGCTGGGAAGGATGGGGCAGGAGGATAAGGAGAGGTTGGTTAATGGATTCAAAATTACAGCTAGATAGGAAGAATAAGTTCTTGTGTTCCATAGCACTGTTCAGTAAATACAGTTAAGAATAATTTATTGTATGTTTTCAGATAGCTAGAAGAAAGCATTCTGGGTGTTCCCAACACAAACAAATCATAATGTTTAAGGTGATGGATGTGTTAATTACCCTGATTTTATCATTATACATTGTATATATGTATTGTAATATCACACTGTAACCCATAAATATGTATAATTATTATGTATTAAAATAATAAAATATTCTAAGTTAGACACCATAAATAAATAAATAAAAGTATACTTATCTATAAGAATAAGAGGATTATCATAGAAAACCAAAGTCAAAGTCTTCTTATATTTTTTACCTTTAAAAAAATAGTTTCTGAATTTTTGACATTATGGAAATCTTCTAGAGGTTGTTTCATCTTCTGACTTAAAAAAATTGACCTTTAACATAAGATCCTTTCCTTGTTAATATTTTTATAATTCTACAATATGAGACCATGGTATAATTAAGTTTAAAAAGCCCAAGTAAATAATTAGGAGAGTGTTGTACTTGAGTTAAAGAAAAAATCAGTCTATCATTGAGTAAAACACACTAGAGAGGAAGAAAACAATTAATAAATGAGATGAAGTACCGTAGGAAAAAATTAGCTTACGATGGCTTCTTGAGAAGACAGTCAAAATAAGCAATTGATGCAGTGACAGACTTTACAGGAAACATTAAAAAGCCCAGATGGCTCAAGTTTACATGTTTACAGATAAGCTTGGAAAGCCAGTTAAATCTTGCAAGTGCCACTCAGTTAACTAGAAGATTTTCCATTCTGAGGATGAGAAAAAAGTTGAAAAGGGATGGGACAGGAAGGAAGAGAAGAGAAAGATGTAGGAAGAGAGAGTAAGATGAAAAGATGATGAGGCTGAAGTGATGATTGAGAAGAAGTCAAATGAGTATAGAAAAGAAAAAGAGGGAACAAGAAGGAAGAGAAAAGTGGAGTATGGAAATAACAATTAAAATCAATGAAAGACTTGTAAAGATGCTCAGGTTTTCTAGTAACTGATACCCATTTTACTTCTTTAGTGTTATATTAGAAGTAAATAGTTTGGGGGAAAGTGGAAAGGAACTATTTTAGGGAAGTTCAGCTCTGTTCTATTCCACTGGGCAAAGAAGAACCTGGTTTTGTTGGTAAATTGACCTCTGTTTATTATAAAATAGTGACTTTTATGGTGTAGTTAGAATAGCTTTGGGATTCACCGGCAATGTGGTTTGCTACAGTTCTCCTACAAAAACGGTGACAAATGCAGTGACAATGAAAAATAAGATGTTTGTGGAGAAATACTTCAGAGTATTGCCACAATGACCTCTCTAGCCAATGGTTGGGGTGAAATTATTTCTCAAAGAATAAAGGAAGCAACCATAAACTCTGAGCAAAAACAATTCTGTTTACAAACCTAATAATGACATAAATCAATTTAATTTTTGGACTTAAAAGCAGGGTTTCCTAACAGTGGCATTATTGACATTTTAGACTGGATAATTCTTTGTTGTGGGGATTTGTTGTCCTCTGTATTATAGGATGTATAGCATCTCTGGCCTCTACCCACTACATGCCAGTAGCACCCCCACTTCAGGCTGTCACAATAAAAAATGTTTTCATACATTTCCAAATGTCCCAAGTGGGCAAAGTTTTCCCCAGGGGAGAACCATGGCTTTAGAGGCATTGACTAACTTCACCAATTTGTTACATCAAAAAATATGTTGACTATATTTAAATAAAGATACTACACATCTATACACCCTTTATTACTATTTTTTTTTAGAGATAGGATCTTGCTGTATTGCCGAGGCTATACTCAAACTCCTGGGCTCAAGAAATCCTCTCGCCTCAGCCTTCTGAGTAGCTGGGACCACAAGTGTGCTTGTGCACTTGACTACTCAGATCTGTGCACCCTTATTTAAGGTTTTTTTTGAAACACGTTCATAAATTTTGTTCTTTCTTATCATGCACATTCTAGGGAGAAAATCAGGGGAGATTATATTATACCTCTTTCCCCAAGGAAACTGAGACACTGAGGAAAAGTGAAGTCCAAATTATATAGGTCCTAGTTTGGGTTCTCCAAGAATCAGACTCTGGGAGAAGTATCTGAGTGCAAGTTTATTTAGGAGTTGGTCCCAGGAAGCTTCAGCTGAGGATGCAGAAAAAGAAAGGGAGGCAACCATTAAACAAATGATACGTACCAAGGAGTTCCTCGCTACCTCAAACTGAAGTTTAACCCTGCTGGAGAACTTTGAGGGCCAGTGCAAAACATGTACCTCAAAGATATTCTGAGGGGCAAGGGAGCTGGATTATTTGTACACTAATTCTTTCTGGTCACTGATTAAGAGCTGATCCCAGGATGAGGCAGAATCATGGCTCCCCCAAAATATCCACATTCTAATTCCTGGAACATGTGAAGAGCTTGCCTTACATAGAAAAAGGGATTTTGCAGAGGTGATTAAGTTTTGCACCTTGACGTTGGGAGATCGTCTGTGATTATCTGGGTTGGCCCAATATAATCACGAGGGTCTTTATAAGTGAAAGAGGGAGGCTGGAGTGTGAGAGTCAGAGAAGGAGATGTGACAGTGGCATCAGATTGTCACATGTAAGACAAATTCAACTATCTGTTGCTGGCTTTGAAGATAGAAGGTGGCCATGAGCCAAGAAATGTGAGAAGCCTCTAGAAGGTGGAGAAAGAAAGAAAACAAATTCTTCCTTAGAGCCTCCAGAAAGGAATACAGTCTTACTGGCACCTTGACTTTAACCCAGTGAGACCCATTGCAAACTTCTGACCTCCAGAATTATGTGATAATGATGTATTTACTTAAGCCACTAAATTTATGGCAACCTGTTACACAGCCAATAGAAACTAATACTGATTTTGGTACCAGAGTGGAGTGCTGCTGTAAAAAAATATGTAAAAATGGTTTTGAAATTGGGCAGTGGGCAAAGGTTGGAAGAATTTTGGCTGGCAGGATAGAAAAAGCTTAGATAGCCTTGAACAGACTTATAGTAGAAATATGGATGTTAATGACTCTGTTGGTGAGGACTTGACGGATTTGAGGAGCACAATAGAAAAAACATATCATCTCAGAAAATACCTAAATTTTCATGAATAGACTTTTGGCAGAAATACAAATGTTAAAAGTTTTGCTGGAAAGGCTTCAGATAGAAACAGGGAAGCTTTTTTTTTTCTTGGAAGTGGGAGGGAAGGAGATCCTTGTTATACAGTGACAGAAAACTTAGGTGAATTGTGTTTTACAGTTATTTGGAAAGCAAAATTTATAAATGATGAATTTGGAGATTTAGCTGAGGAGATTTCTAAGAAAAGGGAAGAAGGTGCAAACTGTTTACTTCTTGTTGCTTATAGTAAAATGTGAGAGAAAAGAGATAGATTGAAAGAAGAACTGTAAAACAAAAAGGAAGATTGTCCTGGATTTTGAGTGGGCTCAATGTTATCAGAGTCCTTATAAGTAAAAGAGAGGGCCAGGAGAATCAGTATCAGAGAAGGAGATACAATGGAGTAGAAGTCAGAGTGGTGTGATATGAGAACAACTGAGTATCTTTGAAGGTAGAAGGGAGCCATGAGCCAAAGAATGTGGGAAGCATCTAATAAGGTAGAAAATGCAAGAAAATGAATTATTCACTGGAGCCTCCAGAAAGGAATGCAGCCCTGTTGACCTTTTGGTTTGAGCCCAGCAATACCCATTTTGGACTTCTGACCTCCAGAATTTTGTGTCTATGTAAAAATGTATATATATGTAAATAAAATTATATACACATATATATTATACAATTAATATATGTATTGCACTAATGCAAGGGTAATTATTTCCCTAGGTCTTCTGATCTGCTGTGTGCTCATGTAGAGTGATATGCAGATTTTGTCATTGAAAATTTGGTTTGGCAGACTGCAATAAAAGGGGCCAGAGGGTTATGGAGACAGGTTCTAATCTGTCTACTAAACAACTTGTGGTAGAAATAAGTCTTGAGTCTATAGTTTTTGATTCCCAATTCAGTGCCCATTATGTTATACTGTGACATAAATGAAGCCTCCAAATCATGAATCTAAAAAAAATGCTTATTTTTTTAAAAAATGTTTTATTCCTTGTCCAACGGTAAAATTTTCTTCTATACCTGGTTGTTTATTAAAGGGAATTTAATATGAAAGTGAATTAAGAGGTTGGAAGAACTGAAAGGACAAACAGCAGCAGTTGAGACAGCCCATAGATCAGCAACATCAGGAAGCTGCTGCCACCATTAGGTCTGCAGCAACAAAGGGAGGAGGTGGTGTTCTCAGAACCCAAGGATTGGGGTCACACAAAAGGAAATAGGACAATGCATATGCACTCTATACATTTCTGAAATATTGTGTTAAATAATTTTCCACTGATGACCCACTCTGATGGAGAACAGCAATGGCACAATTCATCAAAACATTTTAACAATAGATTAATTTGGGATTAATAAATTAGTTAGTGGAGCACCTCCTTGGTACTTGTTTTTCGAGATAAAGCAGCAAATGAAAGAGATGAGGTCCTTGACCTTTTTGAGGAAAGTACAAAAGCCTGAGATGGGAATGTACCTGGAAGATTCAAGAAAAATCAAGAGGTCTGTTGCTTTCTGAGCTGGGACACATGAAAGGAGAAGATATTAGAAAGGCTTTAGGAACCTCCCATTTCTCTATCCAAAGCATCCAGAATGATTCTGTAAATGGGGAACATCTCAAGAGATGAATGAAAGAGGGCAGAGAAGTAAAATCATGGGTGCATTTCTTTTTTTTTCTCTCAGTTGCATCTTGACTGTCTCAGTTAAGACACTGAGCATCTTTGCATTCCTGGAAGTCTTTGTCAGCATTCTATGTAGCTACTCCATTTCTTTTGAGCTTGTGGGCTGCAAAGAATCTAAGATAACACCTGAGGTTGGTTCTCTTCCAATATTCCAGTATTCCAATACTCAATTCTCACTTTAGTTACACTCCCATAAAGGCAGATAGATCTTGGAGAAAGACATCTTCAGTTAGGCTTGTTTCCTTTAACATCTCAGCAGGAAACAGACACCACACTTAAATGGCATATTGAGGAGAGTTTAATGATGGGGTTCTTTGTACAAAACTACAATAGGTTGAGGAAAACCAACAGAATGGCAGAGCATCTGGGGCTACTAACATCAGGGTGTGTTACCACTCCTAGACCTAAAGGGGTAAAGGGATGGAGACGTTGTCAAAACAGGAAGGCTCTCTAGTTGTGGTTGTGTTTATGAAGAAGGGATCACTCAACAAAAGTCACGGCTTTTGACAGAGGAATGCAGCCACTGCCTACCAAAGCCTAAAGGGAGGGAGCTGGAAGAAAAATACCTTGATCCCATCGTGCCCTCTTCCTCCTTCACACCATGCTTCTGCTTGTTAGTGCCTCCTACTGGCCAAGCCCAGGGTTCCCAATGTAGCCTTCTGTAGAGGTCAGTCCCTGGGATGCAGAGCAGAGTAGAAAAGGGTGCACAATGGATCCAGAGGGGCAAAGTAATATATGGATAATAGTTCTCTTGAAGAAGATTAACTTTATATTAACAATGATTCCTCCAACAATCAAAATCATCTTGAATTTGTGATCCTTCAGAAAGAACCCAGAATTAAGCTAAACTTTGCTCTGTTAAAACAGAAAAAGATTTGCTATGTAATTGTACAGCATAAATAAAATTGCTTTGGGTGGGATTGTATCACTAAATCTTTATATAAAGATATGAAAGCACTTTGAAGGATTTTACCTGCAAGTAATTGCTTTGGTAGTTAAATAACCATTATCCTTTTTTTTTTTTTAAAGCAAATATACTCCCAAAGACCTGTCAATCCTTATTTACCTTCTCAGAAATGAATGTACCAGAAATCTTGCTTTAAAAAATATTCTTTGAATGCACTTTCCCTGTCCATTTGGTTTCCCCAAACCCAATCTGACTGAGCCGGGATTTTCTGTAGTCACATGTTTACCTGTGGTGTGTCCATTAGGGACATGACAACAGCCATTATGTAAGTAAACCATAGAGGGTCTGATTTCTCACTTGATCTTGTATATTATTTCTCTTTCTTTGTGTTAGCTCTTCTGCACCTGTGTTTGAGTTAACTCTTGGCTCTGAGGACATTTAGGGGATGATTAGAATATTTAAAACCAGCGAGTAAACAGATCTCATAATTAGTTGATTGCCTGTGTAGACAAACAGAAGAGATTGTTGTATTGTTACAGGATCTCAAAGCAAGCATCCCTTTTGGGAACTTAATAAACTTCCCCCTTTTCAGGCCTGCCCTGGTCATTTGGCGTCAGAGACCACGAGGTCATGCCCATGACAAAAAGCTTCCTGCAGAACCTTTGTTGGAAGTATTTTGTTTTGAATGGGCAAGTATTAAGCTGGCAGACTTAGTCATTGGGAACAAACTTGAGGAATAGATTGGGCAGGATTGAGAAGGTGGCATTTTATTTTAATTTTCTTTGGGGATGTGGGGCCTACTGCTCCCACCAGCCAGGACAATGAGGAAGGGGAAGGACAAGAAGAGGCAAAGTAAATAGAGAAGATCAGAGAGACAGCCAGAAATTCTAATACAGATGGAGTTGATGGAAGCAACATTTGTGTTTATTCCCTGACATTTATCATCATCTGGAATAACTTTTTTAGTGCTCCAATGGTTGCTGAACTTCCATATAGCATTATACAACAACTTGCATTGTAATTGCTTAATTTCCTATCTTCCCCTTCTAGATAAATGCTTCCAATAGAACTTTCTGTGACAGTGGAAATTTTCTGCATTTGCAATGTGGCTATTGAGTACTTGAAATGTGGCTAGTGCAATTAAAGACTAAAATTTTAATTTTACATTTAAATAGCCACATGTGGCTAGTTGCTACCATATTGGACCCCAGAGCGCTAGACTATAAGCTTTGCGAACCTAGGGACCACATGGGCCATCATCGCGTGCCTAAATAATAGTAGGCAATCAAGGGATATTCGCTATATTTAGGAACAAAGGAAGGAAAAGAGAGAGGGAGAGAGAAAAGGGGATGGAATCTCACATGTGGATGAATGTACAGGTAGAAATTTGGAAGGATGGGGAACAGTGGGACTGTGTACTTCTTGTGTTTGGGAAGATATTTCTACGCTATAAGAATCGCTTAAAAGCACTAACTCAGATAGTTGAGATTTTGAAAGACTAAACCTCAGTTTAAAGATTTAACTTGCTTTCTTCTCTCCATTCTATTTTCTTTGAGCTTTCAGACCCTGATACAGCTGAATGCTTTTTAAGCATTATAGTGCAGAACTCTACATGGATGTTAGAAGTCTTCCCAGCAATTTGGTGGTTTATACAGGGCATCCCATGTGAAGGAGAATCACCTGGGATGTGGTGGCGCCTCTGTCCCTCGTAAACTGAATGACATTAACACTTAATCTCCTTGCATGTCGTTCTACTTTTGTAAGACTGTGGGGTTAAATGAGCTAGTTTCTATGTTCCCTCCTGGTTCTGACATTGTAAATATGTATCAGGGTACTTGTTAACCTTTAAAAAAGTAGAACCATTTAACTTTATTTATAAAATACATGTATTTAGCTGCCTACTCACCAGTATGGGGGATTTTCCATCACACTGATGCAGCTTTCAGTTGGATATTACTTACAGACAAACTGGGGACAATGCAATTACTTGAAAAGAGAATTTATGATGACCAAAACTTTGCAGTAGCATTTTTTTTTTTTAAACAGCAGCTAAAACTATTTTAGAAGCATTGGCTTGACTGTGTAAACAAACACTGACTCATTTAAGTAATTGTAACTACTGAATTCAATATTTACAATGCTAAATTTAAAGACATTCATTAGTAATGTGTAGCCTTAAAAGAAGTATGAGTCATTTACTTTATCTCTTAAAAGACAAAACTTCTCCTATTAAAAGATAAGAAAACATGCAAATCAAATTTTATAGTTAAACTCATACATTCTTAAAATGTAAAAGTAATATATGCACAGTAAACAATATTTGGACATGAAAGGAAATAGGAGAAAGATTCGCCAACAGCTTTGGTGCTTCACTGATATCACTACGTTTAATATTTTGGTTTTTTTTTTGTGCATGTTTCTTTTTATATATTATAATTTTAATTATACATATATGTAACATGTATATGTTGCTTAAATTATAAATTATGAAATGTTTCAGACCTCTAGAACAATATAGAAAATAATATAGGCCACATCATATGCTTATTACCTAGATTTCAGAGGTAAGTTTGGACATGTTCGTGTCAGATCTCTTTCTTGTTTCAGATCTTTTTATTTTTAAATAATAAAATACTGTGGATACTGCGCCACATTCATCCTATTCCTTTCTTCTCTTCCCTCCTGAAATTGGTCTCCATTCTCATTCATTCTTTTCTAGTTTTCTTACAAATATATGAATCCACAAATAATTTATAATATTATCTTACATGTTTCAAATGTGCATAGATGTTATTATATACAACACATGGTTTTCTTTCATTATAAAGTTTTTGATATTTATCTGTGTTGGTACATATACATCTAGTTCATCCATTTTAGCTGCTATATGACATTCCATTTATGAATAACCCACAATGACTTAACCTCTTTGTCTGTGATATGTAAGTTGTTTCCATAATTTTTACTATAGTGAAAATTTTGTAAGAAACATCCTTTACAAATTTCTTTGTGAATACATGTGAGGAATTTTTTTTTAGGGTATAAACCCAGATTGATAGATTGACTGGTAGAACATCTTCAAATGTGCTAGGTATTGTCAAATTGCTCTTTCAAGTAATTGAACTAATTTGCACCCCATGTCAGTTGTGTAAAAGTCTCATTTTACCTTATTTTTACCAACAATTGGTACTTTCAGACTTTTGGCTTTCAAAGTTGGTTACTTTGATGAGTATAAAGTCATATTTTACCATTGTTTTCATTTGTATTTTGTTATTTCACTGATTTCTGCTGAGGCTGAAAAATCTTCATATTTGTATTGGTCATTTGGATTTCTCCTTCTGTGAGCTTCCCTGGAATCCTTCACCTTTGGTTGTTTCTTTTCCTTACTGATTTGAAGAAGCAGTCTTTGGACCAATTTATTACAATTTTGTGAAATGAGTACTTAACAAAAAGTATATTTATTTACTCATGTGAGCTTCATTCGTGTTTAACAACCATTTATAAACAAATATGATAAAAATTTATCAAAAGTTTAAGATTTTAAGGTGACTCAAAGGTCATATTTCATGGGTATGAAATCTAAACTGTGAAAAGTAACTTTCAAAAAGCATTTTTTTTTGAAGAATGTAGAGAAGACTACACATAGCTGTTACAGTGTTGGAAACAATTCTATAGGAGATTGCAAAAGACCAGCTGATGTCATCATTTTACCCTCCTGGAACATCTATTTGTTACACCCTGAAACCGAACTGATCCTTCAGAAAACATTTTCCCTGTATTTTTTTTCTTCAGCTGAGGTCCTCTTTGGGCCCAAAGACTACAAAATCTAATTTCTAGAGAAGTATAGAGGGTGGTCTAGACTTCTTGCATAAAAAACTAAATCATCTTATGTATTAGACAGTTTACAAAGGCATAGATATTTGTGATTAAAGTCCTTTTTACTTGAAAATCATAGCTCATCTACCTGTGGTTGTTTGCCTGTCCTCTTTGCTGTCCCTCCTCCCATTTGGTTCATGCTTCCTTTTCCCCTTGGCAGCCCACAGTAAACACCCTCCTGGTTACTTCCAGGGAGGCAGAGTGAAGTGATGGAAGTAGTGTTAGGTTGAGGCAAAGACTCCTGGTGTTCTTGGAATCATTTAGGCTTGGAATAAATTCTCATGCGCTCTGTAACTTTCTATCTAGATGGGCTTGTAACTGACCTCCAAAGTTCTGTTTCTTCATCCATAAAATGAGAATTATCATAACTTGTTGTAAGCCTAGTGATGTCACAGAGGGTGCCTCATTAAATTAGGGTTCCTAGGGCAATCAGTAAGGAATAGGAAAAAGAGTGGGCGGGATTTAAGTGGTGGCAGACACAGAGGCAAGAGGCCAGTGGGAGACTTGGAAATTGAAAGGGATATGAAATAGGCAAGCAACCCAGAGGAAATCCATGGTGGAAAATGAGACCAATGACTTGCAGAGGCCAAAAGCCTCTTCTACCTGTGCAGTTCTTAAGGCAGACTTGTATTTCTGAGGGAGGTGTTGGTATTTTACAGCTCAAATACCACCAAGGGTAATATAGTGGTTTGCTTGAAGGAGTTAAAATCTTACTAACGGGGGAAAAAAAACGCTTTTCTGGAACTGGCCATTCCATCATAATGGTGGGTGACTGAGATCTTGTGATGCAGAAAGATTTCAACTGTTTCCACCACGTTCAAAGAGGGCATTGTTCATAGCATTTGAGTATTCCAAGCAGTTCAGGGTTTAATACCTTCAGGCATAAACACCTCTTTAAAAAATTTACCCATTATATATGGAAATCATTCTAAAATATATGTTTTATTACTTTGTCTTTTTAAGCAAAACCTACTTATGCTTATGTAATTTAATCTTTTCTTCCTGCATCAAGAGAATCATTATACCTTTTAGTTTTTATGTCGTGTCATAATAGTGATGCTCTCGGGATCTATTAACAAATAAACGTCTGTTTGAGCTAGTCTGTTTGAATCCCACGTATGCCTTTAAAGTTTTATTCTGTTTTCTCTCTTGCTTTTATTTGTCTTCTGATGTACTGTCAAACAAGTCACAAATATTTATAAAGTAAAAGTAACTAGCCTCTGAATAAAGGCCCATAGAGCTCTCCTTATAGTTCAAACAACTTCACTCCAAACGTGTTGAGTGCCTAATATGTGACAGGCACTATGCTAAGTGCTCAGGATATAAAGATGAATAAAACCTCCATCCCCAAGGGCTGCACATGCTGATGAATTATAAACTTCCCTGTGGATAATAGGCCTATAATTTCTTCTGTAAACTTTGAGACACCTGTTTTCATTTTTTGCCAAGTGCTCTTTCTCAATTCCTGATTCTCAGCTGTATTTGTGCTACTTGAAGTTGATGAATATTTAAACTTCCAAGAGTTGAGAAATTCCTTTTGCACGTTAAATGGTGTTGCATGATAAGAATGAGCAGAGATAATACTGAGAGGAATCAGTGGCCATATAGAGATTCGAAAGACTCTACAAGGCTTTCAACTGGCATGGTGTTTAAATGTCTGACTTTTGTGATAGAGGTTTTTGGAGAAAATGGTTTTGTGAAACTCAACTTTACCTTTAACTCTACCTTTTTTTTTTTCAAACAAAGATATAATAGACAATAATTTTTAACTATTTAAAAGATGTGGGTATACTGAGAGATAGAAAGAGAGCAGGGAATCAGTGGTAAGGTGGGCCTGACTGAAGCTATAGGCCCACTGTTCTCTCGATCTGGAAATAAGCATGGATAGTCAGGAGTCTGGTTCTGGAGGGTGAGTGGTTATAGCACCAACTTATGTTTGGGGACTGAGTTAGCCTCCTTACATAAAATTGCGGTGGCATTGGCATTCCTCTGTCATGAAAAAGGCTCAGAAGAGACAGGATCAATGCTTAAAGCTCAGGGTTGGAGAGAGAGCCTTGCAACCAGGGCTGGACTAAGCCTTTTGCTGGTTCAGAAAATGTATTGTTTTGTGGGATAAGAGCCTTCAGCTGCCAATAGAAGGCTTAGTTCTAGATGTACCAGTCCTTCTTACAGAAGACGGGAGGGAGGCAACTTAAAAACCATTAGCCAGAGAGAAGGAAGCAAGCATCCTCTAAGAACACCAAGTCTTGTTAGTTTGGCTGGGGCTTTTCCACTTTTACCATGGGGAGTTCTACGCTCCAGGAACACTGTTAGTCCTGAGCAAATCGGGATGACCGGTAATCCTAACCTCCCCCAACCTTCAAAATAAATCTGAAAACTAAAACGCTGAAGCACACAAGAGTAACCAGTGCCAAGACAGACACAGCCACAGCAATCATAACTCAGATTAACTCCTGATAAGATGAAAATTGACTTCATAATAAACAAGTTTAAGGAAAGTAACAAAAGTTATAAAACAAAGGCAGTCAGCTGTGTATTAAGGCGGATAAGTATAGAAAAATATTTTAGAAATCCTGGATATGAAATAAACACACAGTCATTGAAATTTAAAAATATTCTAGCTGGTTATTCACAGTAAAAGTAGGATTTGTGAATTGAATGATGTTACTGAGGAATTCACCCATAATGCTGCTTAGACTGGGTAAAGAGAATAAAATCTTGGAAGAGAAATTAGGGTAATGAACAATAAACTGAAAGACCCCTAAATATATATAATTTTTTGTAAGGAGAGAAAAGAGGAATGGTTAAAAAAAACATTAAAATGAATTATTACTGATGCTTTCAATAATGCCAGAAAGACATGAGTTTTCAGATTGAAAGTGCATACCAAGTATTGAGAAAATTACATCAAGTACATTCAGAAAGATTAATTGAAGTTGCTGAGCATCAAGGATATGTGGAACACTTGAAAAGTTGCCAAAGAGGAAAAAAAAAGACGGATTACCTACAATGGAATGACAATTAGGCTGATGGCTGACATCTCAGCTTCAAAACTAGATGCTTAACAACAAAGGAATAGTATTGTCAAAATGCAAAGAAAAAGAAACTAGAATTCCATATTGAGCTAAACTGTCATTTAAAAGTGAGTATGAAATGAGAACATTTTCAGATGTGCAAAAACCCAACAGAGTTTGCCAAGAACATTCCCTCATTAAAGTTACTCCCTAGGAATTCGGTACCAGCTAAACTACCATTTGAAAGTGAGCATCAAATGTGCAAAAACCAAGAAAGTGTACCAGTCACACCCTTCAATGAAGATACCATCTAAGAAGATGACCTTTTAAAGAAGCAACTGTGAATAAGCAAATTCATAAATTGTATTGGTAAATGTTATTTTTAGAAGTTTTTGTTTATGGCTTTTTTTTTTTTTTTTTTGAGATGGAGTCTTGCTCTTGTCGCTCAGGCTGGAGTACAGTGGCGCGATCTTGACTCACTGCAACCTCTGCCTCCTGGGTTCAAGCAATTCTCCTGCCTCAGCCTCCTGAGTAGCTGGGATCACAGGTGCCCACCAGCACGCCCAGCTAATTTTTGTATTTTTAGTAGAGATGGGGTTTTACCATGTTGAGCAGGCTGTTCTTGAACTCCTGACCTCAGATGATCCTCCTCCCTTGGCCTCCCAAAGTGCTGGGATTACAGGCTTGAGCCACCACGTCCAGCCGTATTGGTAAATATTATTAATATTTTTTAAAGGTGGAACTAAAATTCTGGATAAAAATGACAAGGAGAGGGCACGGAGGGTTACAGAGAAGGGCTCCACAGGTGATTGCACCTATGGATTCTACCTATTGCACAGGCTATTGCACCTATGTCAACAATTGTAATATTGTTGACATCTCAAATATTTACTTGTTTTGCATTCAGAAAAGACCTTTGAAAAATGCTTGACTGTCTTCACTTTCTTTTAAGCAAGGGAGATTTGAGAGAAGACAAATCTTTTATCAGATTATTTCCAGTCAGGCTGGGAGAGGAAAGTGGAAAAAGGGTAAGAAATGGCAAGTATGAAAGATTTTGGGCCAGGTGCAGTGGCTCACATCCATAATCCCAGCACTTGGAAGGTCAAGGCAGGTGGATCACCTGAGGTCAGGAGTTCGAGACCAGCCTGGCCAACAGGGCGAAACCCTCTCTCTAATAAAAATACAAAAATTAGCTGGGCGTGGTGGCACGTGCCTGTAGTCCCAGCTACATGGAAGGCTGAGGCAGGAGGATCACTTGAACCCAGGAGGCAGAGGTTGCAGTGAGATCACGCACCACTACACTCCAGCCTGGGTGACAGAGCAAGACTCTGTCTCAAAAAAAAAAAAAAAAAGAGAGAAAAGACAAGAAAGATTTTGGACAACCTCTAAACTTGTCTAGGTCTTCATGATCTGGTGTCAGGGTTCTATTTGACATAGAATTCCTGAAAAGCTTGGCACACACATATTAAAATGTTAGAACATATTTGAATATCAAATTTAAATAATTGTTGCTTATTTATTACTTGGGGTTATTCAAATTTTGTTTTTTTTTTAAATATAAATGCTTGAGAATTGACAGTAGTGTTTTTTCTCCAAAGGACTTAAGAATGAAAAGTTTAGAAGTATGTCAACATTGTGACAGAAGGCATTAATTGATGCCCAAGCATGACCCTAACATGATTTCATATGTTTTGATGTCATCTCTTTCTTTAAGCTGCACAGTATGTTAAAGTAAAAGCTTCTGTTTGAATTGAGTGAACACAGAGCTTCAGTTTTTCTTTTTTACCATATATGTATAGTTGAATACTGATATAGTCTCTCATTCATTTTTGTACTGTTTCTCAATATCTGATTGCCAAAAGAAAGAGATTTCTTATAAAATAGGCTTCAGACCACAGGGCTTGGATTTTAAGATTACATTTTTTTAAATGAGGAGAGAGTGGTAGTTCTGTGAATAAAGTAGCAAGAATAAAAAGGAAGAGACCAAAGATGACATTTTGAAGGAAGTAATTGCCTTGGCATGGCGGTTTTGAGCCCACATTGTTAAGTGGTTTCTGGCATGATATGTGATTTTCCTATGTGATATCCTGAATGTTTACCAGAAAAATTAAAGACACATGCTAAGAAGTCAAGGCAAACCTGTGAGAATGAAGCAGACTTTTTCATTTGCTCATTCATTAAATGTGGATTTATGTGCACACACAGGCACTCATATATGTATACATAATACGTACACTTATAATGTGTATATATACTCCTTAAATATATGTATGTACACATGTGTATATATCTATGTGTGTATATATATACACACACACACACCCCTCTTTCTCTCTCTCCTCTCTTTTCCTCTCCCCCCTCCCTTCCTCTCTCCCCTCTTTTTTCTCCACCGCCATCTCCAGTCTTTCCCCCTTCTCTCTCTCTCCTCTTTCCTCCCTTTCTCCCTCTCTCCCTGACTCGCTCCCTTCCTCCTCCTCTCCCACTCCCTTCTTTTTCTCTCTGCCTCTTCTTCCACTTTTCCTCTCCCCTTCTCTTTCTTCTTCTCTCTCTTGTCTCCCTTTCTCTTTCCCTCTGTCTCTCTCTCCCCATCCTCCCTCTCTCTCCCTCCCCTTCTCCCTCTCTCTCTTTCTCTCTGTCTCTGTAGTATTATGTTGTCCTAAATTCTGTGAGGTGCTAAAGGAAGTAATACAACATATCTACTCTTAAGAGCTTATTTTATGTCAGGAAAGAAAAGGGTATGTTAACATATTGCTATGTAAGCAAAAAAAACCCATTTATTATAATACTAATATTTATGATGATGATAATATAAGGGATGACAGGAAGAGTATATGATTCAGACCCAAAAGAACAATATAAATAAGCACATTTTCAAAAGTTATTAAAAAGAAGAGGCAATGAGAGTTAGAGACATTTGAGGAAGTTGTAGAGGAAGAAAAGGAACAATCAGTGGGGGAAGTGGTGAGACCAAATGTGCTGAGGCTGAAATGGCCTTGGTGTGCTTGGGAGACAGTGAGTACGTGAATCTGCCTGCAGAAGTTGGGAGTGGGGGGAATATTATTAGGATTATTAGGAAGGTAAGCTGAGAACATAATGTCAAGAGTCTTAAATGCTGGCTAATAAGTATCTTAGAAAGTTACTTGAGCAGGAAAGTGATGCAATAAGGTCCTATTTAATTGACAGCTGATTATAGAATGGACTGGCAGGGGAGTGTCTAGAAGTAATATCAATTGTAAATCATCCAAACAAGAGCTTAAAAGAGCCTGGCCTGTAGGTGTCATGGCATATATGAAAAAAAAGAGACACACAGAGAGAAGTAAGGAGACAATAGTTGACAGTTCTGAGTTAAGGCCAAGTTGGTGCAAAAGTAATCGTGGTTTTGGACTGTGAATTTTAAATCACTATAACCAGACTCAAACACATCTTTATTAATCAAAATAGGAACCATTACAATCAACATATTTTTGCCAATGATAAATACGTTTGTTTATTCCTATAGCATAAAAATCTGTGCTTTGGGATTTGATGAACACTTGGAAAGCATTTTCTGCATTTTGCTGGTTGTGGACGCGTTTTCCCTGCAAAAAGTTGCTGAGATGCTTGAAGAACTGGTAGTTGGTTGGCAAAAGGTCAGGTGAATATGGTGGATGAGGCAAAACTTTGTAGCCCAATTCGTTCAACTTTTGAAGCATTTGTTGTGCAATGTGCAGTCGGGCATTGTTGTGAAGAACTGAGCCCTTCCTGTTGATCAATGCCAGCTGCAGGCCTTGCAGTTTTCGTTGCATCTCATTAATTTGCTGAGCATAACTTCTCAGATGTAGTGGTTTCACCAGGATTCAGAAAGCTGTAGTGGGTCAGACTGGCAGCAGACCATCAAATAGTGGCCATGACCTTTTTTTAGTGTGAGTTTGGCTTTGGGAAGTGCTTTGGAGCTTCTTCTAGATCCAACCACTGAGCTGGTTGTTGCGGGTCGTCCTATAAAATCCACTTTTCATCACATGTTACAATTCCTACTAAGAAATGGCTAATGAGGCCAGGTGCGGTGGCTCACGCCTGTAATCCCAGCACTTTGGGAGGCCAAGGCGGGTGGATCACCTGAGGTCAGGAGTTCGAGACCAGCCTGGCCAACATGGTGAAACCCTGTCTCTACTAAAAATATGAAAATTAGCCGGGCGTGGTGGTGGGCACCTGTAATCCCAGCTAATCGGGAGGCTGAGGCAGGAGAATTTCTTGAACCAAAGAAGCAGAGTTTGCAGTGAGCCGAGAGCATGCCACTGCACTCCAGCCTGGGCAACAGAGCGAGACTCTCTCTCAAAAAAAAAAAAAAAAAAAAAGAAATGGTTCATTGTTGTTGCATAGAGTGAGAGAAGATGACACTTCAAAATGACTTTTTTTTATTTTTTATTTTCGCTTAGCTCATGAGGCACCCACTTATCAAGCTTTTTCACCTTTCCAATTTGCTTCAAATGCCGAATGACCACGGAATGGGTGATGTTGAGTTCTTCGGCAGCTTCTCATGTAGTTGTAAAAGGATCAGCTTTGATTGTTGCTCTCAATTGGTCCTTGTTAACTTCTGATGGCTGGCCACTATGCTCCTCATCCTCAAGGCTCTCTTCTTTGCAAAATTTTTTGAACCACCACTGCACTATACATTTGTTAGCAGTTCCTGGGCCAAATGTGTTGTTGGTGTTGTGAGTTGTCTCCTCTGCCTTACGACCCATTTTGAACTTGAATAAGAAAATCGCTCAAATTTGCTTTTTGTCTTAAACATAATTTCCATAGTCTAAAATAAACATAAAATAAAAAGCAAGTAATGTCATTATCAAAAAAAATGAAGTGAGAAATCCTCATTAAAATGATGTATAACATAACCACATTTTTTAAAGAATGTATTCCCATATCAAACAGCAAATTTCAACAACGCAAAAACTGTAATTACTTTTGTACCAACCTAATATAATGGGCAAAAAAGGAGAGAGAATCATAGATAACTCTGTGGAGTTTGCAAACCTGGCTGAGCTGATTTTAGTAATGGCAGATGATGAGTCAGACTTAGTAAACTAGAACATCCTTTTTGTCAACATTATTGGAAAATACATTTTTTTTAATACTTTAAGTTTTAGGGTACATGTGCACAACGTGCAGGTTTGTTACATATATATACCTGTGTCATGTTGGTGTGCTGCACCCATTAACTTGTCATTGAACATTAGGTATATCTCCTAATGCTATCTCTCCCCCCTCTCCCCACCCCACAACAGGCCCCAGTGTGTGATGTTCCCCTTCCTGTGTCCATGGAAATGTAAAATTATTTGGTTTAATTACAAATACTTCTTAAGGAGTTGTGTGCCAGGCAAGAGTGCTTCAAACATGATGAATCAGAGTCTCAAGGTTTATAAACAGATTTTTACAAATAAGATGTTTTGGGAAGCTTCACACTAGTTTAGAATACCTTAACAGAAGAGAATTTGATTATGTATTTGAATGATTCCTCCAAAGCATTCCAACAGAATGGGATAACTGTCCAAAAAAACTTTCTGCAATGATGGAAATGTTCTTTATCTATGCTGTCAAATATGATCTCCACTAGTCCCATGTGGCTTTTGAGCACTGCAAATGTGTCTAGTGCAACTGAGAAACTGGATTTTACATTTAACTTAAATGCAAATTTAAATATCCTCTCATGACCAGTGGCTACGATATTGGACAGTGCAATGCTAAAGGATCTCTAAGTCATCATGTTTGACAATATGTGGTTGCCCTTTTAGTTCAGGGAAGATGTTTGCTTTAGCATGTGTGATTGAAATTCAAATTTAACTTGGCAACAAAAATTGCCATTTGAAAATAAATTGTCCATTTACTGACTCAACAAATATTTATTTATTGTCTATCGGCTTCTAAGGTTAATGTTTGCTGCAGTGGTGGAAACATGGTTGTGGTCCAGCCCTCATGTGGCTCACAACGAGGGAAGGCATTAAAACAAAATCACACACTTGCAAATTGAGATGAGCACCATATAGCAGAATAAAACTCCAGTAAAAGACTATAATGGTGTTCTTAAGTTGGAGATGGTGGGAAAAGGCAGCATTTCAGCAGAAATAAGGAATTAGCTAGGAAAGAGTAAAGGTAGGAACATTTCTAGCAAAGGGCAGTCTTAACCTGTCCGAAAGCATGTTATGTCTAAGGAACTGGAAGAAGGGCTTTAGAGCATACATGACTTATATTTATCCTAGGGAAA